>NT_187572.1:0-145606 GCF_000001405.40 Homo sapiens | reverse complement strand
GAATTCCATATTTGATTTCACATTAAAGGTAAAAACTTTTCAAAAGCGCTGTTAAAATAAAAGCGGATAAACTACCTGACTGTTTATTAATTTATTCTATCATTCGACAAGACCCTACTAAGCAGTAAGAAATACGACAGGAGCTACGGATCCATGAAATGTTTGGTCTCTTGGTTTCTGTTAAATGGCCAGAGCAGATTCCGTGCTAGGGGCTTCAAACTTCTTCTACTGCGAGCATGAGGAGAAGTACAGTCATCCCCGGTATGTGTGAGGAGGGGTTCCAGGACCCCGTGCAGACACCAAACTCCACAAATGCTCAAGTCCCTTATATAAAAAGGGGCAGTGTCTGTACCTAACCTACGCAGCTCCCAGATACGCAGCTCCTAGCTCCCGTGATAGCTAGGACATTGTAAATGCTATGTCAATAGTTGTTATACTGTATCGTGTAGGGAACAATGTCCAAAAGAAGTCTGTGCATGTTCAGAACACACACAATCATTCATTTTCCCAGATTGAGCCCTGCACCACCCGGTCCCGGCTGCCTCCCACCTCACTGCCCCACTCCCTCTCCTCATGTCCCCTCCGCTCCCGCTGTTCTCTGGCCACTTATAAACACATCAACCTCAGGGCCTTTGCACGTGTGGCCCCCATGTATGGAATATTTGTCCAGCAGGGGACAGGCACGGCTCTCACCTTCAGGTCACGAGCAGCCTTCCTACCCAAGAGAATGCCCATTGCTCCTCCACCCTAGTCCTACTTTACCATTTCTTCATAGGCGTCATGATTTGGTATGATATTACGGCATGATTTGTCTGCTTCTTCTCCGTCTTTCTCACTGACTCCCCGCCACACAGGGTGCACACGCTACCTGCCGTGTCTCCATCACCAAGAAGCATGCCTGCCACACGCACACGATTATGTTTTTGTGGAACAAATGAAAAAGTGAATGAAAGGACATTTATCATCTTTACATTTTTTGCCAATAAATAAAAGTTGAAAATGGTTTAAGTCCAGGATGACAGGTTAGGGATTGGAAAAGGAAGACTCTGTCAGTCCCCACAGTAACCACTGAGTCACTGCCATGAGTGTTATGCAAATGCAGACGGTTTGCCGGGAGGCGTCCACCCTTCCCATTCTCTACGGCCCCAGCGAAGTCATTTGGTCCAGGACAATGAAATTCATTCCATTGGGACAGAAAAGCCAAGGCGATGGATAATGGAGAGCCTTGAAAGTGTTTCTGGAGCCCAGGGCTGTTTTCATTTCTCAGCCGCAGCAAACAGGTCAGAAGCTCTGCTATTCGCTGGTGTCAGCAGAGCTGGCAGCGGCAGCCAGTGGTTGGTCACAAAAGAGATTTTTCTGCAAAACCCGGGGTGTCATCCCAAAACCCCATTCTAATTTCTAAGCTGTGGGTTTGAAAATTTACATAACGAAGGCCACCTGAAAGGCCGTCTGTAAGGCTACCACAAGAAGTACGGAAAGCTCCTGGAGCCATGACAGCATCTACAGCAAAAACCAAAAAGGCCAAAAATCAGAAATATTTATCCTTCTTATTTCTTTAATTTGGAAACAACAATCTAAACCTAAAACCAAATTTAGTATTTAAAGAAATCATCTTAATTAGCAGTAACTTTAATCTACTTTTTACCACCATTAACACTAATAAGCTCCAAAAACAAACAAACAAACAACAGCAACAGCAACACCTCAATACTGGAAATGTTACGGGAAGCCCACATAAGCCCATGTGTCTCATGTGTGCGTTTATAAACCCAGCCACGTCTTCCGTCTTCCATCTCGGCTGCCTGTGAGGTGGCCCCTACACCGCACCTCACTCTAATTAGGGTTGCCAGTTAACCCCTTCACTCCTGCTACTTGAATAACCAAGGCCCTGGAGAAAAATCACCTGCCAGAGTGAATGCAGCAAATCCAGAATTCTAACAACTTCTCGTTCTGCTTTGTTGACCTGGCTCCTCACCGAAGGCAGCCAGAGGCCTGGTGCTGAGACAGCTGACTTCATCCCCAGACTCTAACGTCCAGCTAGCCAGCCTCCCCCAGCAGGTTTGGGCAGGGGGCGATGGGCCATTCAGTCCCTGTGTTGTAGAAATAAACTAAGCCACAGAGTTAGAAGAATGGAGATCAGCTCACACGTGCCGCTAACCAGCTCTCAGGCAAGGCACCCTCTCTTCCCTAAACTCCAGTCACCTAAACTCCAATTAGAAGACTAAGACAGGGCCAGGTGTGCTGGCTCACACCTGTAATCCCAGCCCTTTGGGAGGCCAAGGCAGATGGATCAGCTGCGGTCAGGAGTTTCAGACCAGCCTGGCCAACATGGTGAAACCCTGCCTATATTAAAAGCACAAAAATTAGCCAGGCTTCGTGGCGTGCGCCTGTGATCCCAGCTACTTGGGAGGCTGAGGCAGGAGAATCACTTGAACCCAGGAGGTGGAGGTTGCAGTGAGCTGAGATTGCGCCACTGCACTCCAGCCTGGGCAATAGAGCGAGACTCCATCTCAAAAAAAAAAAAAAAGAAGACTAAGGTGGGGCTGGTCTATGTCTCAGGTTTTTAGTGACAATAAAATAAGAATGTCGATGTATTTTTTAATTAAAATACTATTTTTTATAGGCTTACAGAAAAGTTGAGCACAAAGTTCACAGAGTTCACATATAACCCCTCCTCCCCACCCCAGTTTCCCCACCATTAACAGCTTATGTTAGTGTGAAACATTTGCTGTAAGGAGCGAATATTGATAATTATTAAGTCCACTGATTACACGAGGGCTACTCTTGGTGTTGTCCATTCTGTGGGTTTGGAGAAATGCACGGTGGCATGTGGCCACAATGACAGCATCTCATATATGCCCACGGTGACAGCATCACACATGTGCCCACGGTGACAGCATCATACATGTGCCCACGGTGAGAGCATCACACATGTCCCTACAATGACAGCATCACACATGTCCCCACAGAGACAGCATCTCACGTGCCCACGGTGACAGCATCACACACGTGCCCACGGTGACAGCATCACACACGTGCCCACGGTGACAGCGTCACACATGTCCCCACGGTGACAGCATCACACATGTGCCCACGGTGACAGCATTACACGTGCCCACGGTGACAGCACCACACATGTGCCCACGATGACAGCATCACACAGAGGCGCTTCCCTGTCATAAAATTCCTCTGGGCTCCGCCCATTCACCCCTCCCTCCCCACAGCCCATGGCAGCCACTGAACCTTTCCTGTCTGCACAGTTCTGTCTTTTCCAGAATGCCATGCAGTCGGAATCCTACATTGCGTAGCCTTTTGCGACAGGCTTCTTTCACGTAGTCACGTGCATTTACGGTTGCTCCACGTCCTTTCACAGCCTGGTAGATCATTCCTTCTCAGCACTTCTTGTCCAGATAGGCCAGTTTGGTTATTCATTCATCTTTTAAAGGCACGTTGGTTGTTTCCAAGCTGCTATAAACATTCATGTGCACTGGGCGCGGTGGCTAACGCCTGTAATCCCGACACTCTGGAGGGCCAAGGCGGGTGGATCATCTGAGGTGAGGAGTTCAAGACCAGCCTGGCCAACACGGTGAAACCCTAATACAAAATTAGCCGGGCATGGTGGCGTATGCCTGTAACCCCAGCTACTCAGGAGGCTGGGCCCAAGAATCACTTGAATCCAGGAGACAGAGGCTGCAGTGAGCCGAGATCACACCACTGCACTCCAGCCTGGGCAACAAGAGCGAGGCTCCGTCTCAAAAAAAAAAAAAAATCATGTGCAAGTTTTTGTGTGAACAGAAGTTTTCAAGTATCTGGGTGAACACCTAGGAGCCTGACTGCTAGACGGCATGGCAAATGTGCACTGTTGTAAGGAACCACCTAGCGGTCTTCAGTGTGGCTGCACCATTTTGCACTCCCCACAGTGAGGATGAGAGTTCCCGTTGCTCCACATCCTCACCAGCACTTGATGGTGTTGCCAGTGTCTGGATCTTGGCCATTCCAGCAGGGGTGTGGCACTGTCTCCTTGCTGTTTTATTTTTCATTTCCCTGATGACACATGACATGGAGTATCTTTTCAGTGGCTTGTCATCTGTGTATCTTTTTGATGGTGTCTGTTAAGATCTTTTACACATTTTAAAAATCAGGTTGTTTTCTCACCATTGAAATTTGAAAATTATTTGTATATTTTGCATGCTCGTCCTCCATCAGGTGTGTGTTTTGCAAATATTTTCTCCCGGTCTGGACTTTGTTGTTCCATCCTCTGAAGAGTGTCTTTGCAGAGCAGAAGCTGTTCATTTTAATGAAGTCCAATTTCAATTTTTCTCATGCATCATGCATTTGGTGTTATATCTAAAAAGTCACCAAATCAAAGCTTACCCAGGGTTCTCCCACATTGTCTCCTAGGACTTTTATAGTTTTGCATTTTGTGTTAATTTTGTAAAGGGTGTAAGGTCTGGTTCTGGGTTCATTTTGTTGCACATGGAGGTCCCATTGCTCCACACCATCTGTTGATAAGAGCATCCTCTCTCCATTGAATGGCCTTTCCTCCTTCATCAAAGATCAGCTGGCTGTATTTACGTGGGTCTGTCTCTGGACCCTCTGTTCTGTTCCATTGATCTATTTGTCTATTTGTTTACCAGTGCCACACTGTCTTGATTACTGTAGCTTTCCAGTAAGTCTTGAGATCAACTGTCAGTTCTGTGACTTTGTTCTCCTTAAATACTGTGTTAACTTGTCTGGGTCTTCTGCCTCTTCATGTAACCTTTAGGATCAATTTGTTGATATCCACAAAATAACATGCTGGGATCCTGATGGGGACTGCGCTGAATGTATAGAACACGTTAAGAAAAATGGATATCTCAACAGCACGGATTTTCCTGTCCAGGGATATGGGGTGCCTCCCCATTACTTAGATCTCCTTTCATTTCTTTCAACAGAGTTTTGTAGTTTTCCTCATATAGATCTTATGCTATTTTGTTCAACTTTTACTTAAGCATTTTACATTTTTTTGGTACTAATGTAAATGGTTCTGTGTTTTCAATCTCAAATTCTACTCATTCACTGCTGGTATAAAATGAAGTAACTGACCTTTGCATATTAACCCTGTATTCTAAAACCCTGCTAAAACTGTTTATTAGTTTCAGAAGATTTTTCCACTGCTGGGTGCCGTGGCTCATGCCTGTAATCCCAGCACTATGGGAGGCCGAGGTGGGCAGATCACCTCAGGTCAGCAGTTTGAGATCAGCCTGACCAACACGGAGAAATCCCATCTCTACCAAAAATACAAAATTAGCCAGGCGTGGTGGTGTGTGCCTGTAATCCCAGCTACTCAAGAGGCTGAGGCAGGAGAATTGCTTGAACCCGGGAGGCGAAGGTTGTAGCGAGCTGAGATTGCACCATTGCACTCTAGTCTGGGCAACAAGAGCGAAACTCCATCTCAAAAAAAAAAAAAAAAAAAAGAAGAAGAAGAAGATTTTTCCACTAATTCTTCTTTGGGATCTTCTACATAAATAATCATGTCATCTGTTGACAAATGCATTTTTATTTATTATATCCCAATATGCATATCTTTTATTTCCTTTTCTTGTCTTATTGCATTAGCTGGGACTTCCAGTATGATCTTGAAAAGGAGGGGTGAGAGGCTACGCTTCCTCATTTCTGATCTCTGCGGGATGCTCCAAATTTCTCATCATTTAGTAAGAACTTAGCTGTTGGGGGGTGGTTAGATTTTCTTTATTGAGTTCAGGAAGTTCTCCCCCATCCCTAGCTCACTGAAAGTTTTTATCATTAATGGGATTGGATTTTTTCAAATGCCTTTTCTGCATCTATGAATATGACCACAGGACTTCTCTTCTTTAGCCTGCTGATGCGATGATTACATCAACTGATTTTTGAATATTGAACCAGCCTTGCATAGCTAGGGTAAAGCTTCAACCTGTTTTGTAGGGCCTCAAAAATCAGTAACCGATGATCCCACTTCCTGCACTTCCATTCTTTCCCCAACCAAATACAACCTGGCTTCACTCTCAGGCACCTGAAGCTTACGTGGGAACTTACAGCACCAGTTTTACAGACCTATCCCCCTCTCACTCCTCCTGATGTGTCTGTGTGACACGTGGTGCTGTTAAACACCCTCCTTCTTGAAATTGTTTTCTCTTGGCACCCTCAATATGCCAGCCTCCTGATTCTCCTGCCTCTCTGGTCACTCCTCTTTAGTCACTCATTCATTCATTCAGCGGACATTCCTGCAGCTCACACTCAGCTTTGGTCCCAGTGTTGAGTGGGGAGCACAGAGAACGCTCCTGACCGTACACACCCGCTGGGAGCACATGAATTAATAGAAAACAGAGGCATTCATGCTGAAAGTGCCCATGGGAATACACGGTTCTGAAAAAAGAGAAAGGAAATGAAAAGCGTAACATAGCTGGAGTCAATGATCCCACATAAATGCCTGCAGGTGTCTTCTCCTAAAAATCTTCGTGCCCACGTTTTCAACTGCCACCCACACGAAGACGCTGCACACAGCAACCCAATCGCACATCCCAGACTCAAGGACCTGCTCCCGCCTCCTCCCCACCACTCGGCAAGCGCCTACCATCACTCCCTCCCGGACCCACTACTGCCGGACCTCTGACTGCCAGACCTCTGTTTTGACCTCTTTCTTTTTTAACCTGCACTTTGCCCAAACCGCTCCTCGGTTGCTGCCAGCACCACCTTTCCACAAAGAAAATCCGGGCATGCCGTTCCTCACTACTGTTTCCTGATACCTGTGGGAGCATTTCCCATGTGGGAAGCTTTTCTCCAGAGCTTCATCGCATCTCAGGGACCTCATCCTGAAGCTCAGTATTTCCAAAACCACATTCCTGCCACTGAGGCAGGCCCTACAACAGCTGAATCCAACCTGCCATTGCAGACTGCAGACAGCCCTGGCCCTCCATGTCCCCTCACCCCTGCATGAAAGCACATATGCACACACATGTGAACACACACAGACACATGCACACACAAAAAGACACGTACATGCATGAACATGCACACACATGCATGCACATACAACATGAACACACAAACATATGCAGACACATGCACACATGAACACACATGTCAGTCCGGCCCTCTCTCACCCACTCTCTCACTCTCACCCACCTCCCCCCTTCTGCTACAGGACAATACAGCAAGGCCCTCACCAGACACAGCCTCCTGGCCTCAGACTGCAGCCTCCAGCCTGTGAGGGTCTCAGGTATTGTGTTATAGCCACACAAATGGACCAAGACAGAGCCCACTCTGTCCTTTTTGCCTCCTGAATAAAAGGATAAGGATACCCACTGAAGGCCCCCACTCAGCAGCTCCTCCTTGCTGGGCCTTGCTCTAAGGTCCCCTACACAAGCCCCACTAACCCCGCAATGCGCTGTCCCCCTCATGGTGGTGAGCCCAAGTCCCCTCTGCTGTGCAGTCCTCCTACAGGGTCTTAGTCTATGTGGCTGCTAGAACAAGGTATCATAGACCGGGTGACATACAAGAAACGGGAATTCATCTCCCACGGTTCTGGAGGCTGGAAGTCCACCAACCAGGCACAGCGGATTCCACTCTCTGCCGAGGGCCTCTTTCCTGGTCCAGAGACAGCGCCTTCTCACTGTGTCCTTGCTAGGTAGGAGGTGCAGGGAGCTCTCTCAGGTCCCTTTTAAAAAGGCACTTATCCCACCTGTGGCGGCCCCACCCTCATGACTTCATGACCTCCCAGTGGTCTCTCCTCCTAACACCATCACATTGGGGGTTAGGGTATGAATCTGGGGGACAAACCTTCAGCCCACCACAGAGAGAATCAACATAAAGAGAAAACTGCCTTGTTTCTGTAATGCCCTGGTTCAGTCCCTAGCAATCAGGGCATGAATACTGAATTCTTATTAAATTAAATGACAAACACATCCTCCAGTGATTTAAAGTAGTTAAGCCTGTGCACGGGGCGGTGTGGCTGCAGGCCTGAGACTGCTCCCTAGAACGGCTGCTTGCGAGGCTGGCCCTGGGCTATATCTGAGAACTTGGATGTCGTGGGGGGTCCCACCATTCCCTAACTGATGAGGGGTGAGTCTGGCCCTGGGCTTCATCTGAGAACTTGGATGTCGTGGGGGATCCCCATCATTCCCTAACTGATGAGGGGCATCCTGTACCTAAGCCATCTGTGCAGATGATGTTTATACCACACACCTGCTCTCCTGCTGGCAGGGCTGTCTATCTGAGCAGACCCCAGCACAACCCTGGGCACCGTGTCTCTCACAAGCTTCCTGTTGGACGACATGCGTGGTCACAGCTTGATACTGGCAGAACCAAGCCCCTCCTGGGACTCTGTGGGGAACAGCTCTGGAAGCTTCCATCTCGTTTCCCTGGACCTCCCTCCTCCACCTTCTCCCTCTGATGACCATGCTCCGCGTCCTTTCTCTGTAACAACTCACAGCTGTCCTGCAGCTGTGCCGAGCCCTGGGAGTGCTCCCAGTGAATCACGGAACTGTGGGTACTCTTGGGGACCCCAACACACACCTAAGTGCAATGTTAGACTCATACTCTAGCACCCAGCTATTATAAACTAAGCACTGAATTTCCTCTTTTGCTCCTAAAGTATCTGTAACTATTTAATGTGTCACTACAAAGCCCACTGCCCCAAAGCAGCCAGTCTGACCCATCTGCGAAGATCCAGCGTCATGCTGCACATAAGAACAGCCAGTTTTACCAAAATCTGTTGCAGAAATAACGGAATCGGCCAGGGGATCCATAAACAAAAACAGCACAAAGGTAAATGAGGTCCTTTTGTGAAGCAACAGTAATTCTACATCAAGGACGTTGTCATTCAGAATGAAACTGTGCTACTTAGATTTCCCAAGGAAACACTCGCCCGAGAATGCACTCAGCCTTGCTGGGTTTGGGTGGATATTTTACCCTTTACAGAAACGTTGAAGTAGCCAAGGTGTTAGCATGACATCTGCGAACATAATCAGTACAAATCCCGTCTACTGGGAACATAACACTCTGTCCGCAATTTATACAAAAGCCCACGAGGCTGAGAGATGTTGATTTGCTCATTTACCACAATCAGACAATCGATTAAGCTGGCAAGAGAAAGAGGAAAATGACCCACAGAATCTTGAGTAAAATCAAGCTAATAATTCATTACAATTTACAGCTGATGAGCAGATAAAAGACGGACAAAAGAATCATGATGGTTTCATTGGATTTGCCATTAGTGTTCTTTCTTCCATCTGGAAAACTGAAGATCACGTGTGAAAAGCCAATCTCAGATTTCAAACAGGAGGCTACTGTGGTTTCATGACAGCTCAGTGGAGACAGGAGGCAGAGCCCCAGGCCTGTGGCCTCCAGATCCACGTGCAGGGAGAGGGGACACGGAAGTCTGTGTCATCCACCAAGACAGAGAAAGGTGAGAGAGACAGATTTCCTATCCCTCAGAGCAATTCTTTAAACTGTTTTTGACATGTTTTTTTTTTAGCTTCCAATGTGTCCCTTCTCAAAATCTCTGCACACACATAAGAGGAAATCAAAATTTACACCAAAGCCAATTCTCACAGCTGGCAGGAGGCTGCATGCCTTTGTTGTCCACAGGGCAGGTGGGAGCTTGGGTTTAGGGGCTGAGTCCCAGGACCGCCGCCCACTAGCTGAGTGCCCTGACCAAGTCACTGCACCTTCCCAAGACCAGTGTCCTCGCTAATAAGAGAGGAGTAATAATAAAGACAGCTCCAGGTATTAGTGAAGGTGAGAGGGAAACGCAGCGGGGGCCCCCTGCAGCTCCCGCCACCCAGCAGTCACGGAACAGTCACTGCTTCCCAGCTCCGAGTGTGGTTCCTGGCATCTAGCAGGCTGCGGGGCACGTGGCGTGGTCTCCGTGAATCGTGTTAA
Source organism: Homo sapiens (assembly GCF_000001405.40). Classification (NCBI taxonomy): domain Eukaryota; kingdom Metazoa; phylum Chordata; class Mammalia; order Primates; family Hominidae; genus Homo; species Homo sapiens. The sequence continues at coordinate 135,706 of NT_187572.1, read as the reverse complement.
ATGAGGGAGGAAATCTATGCCCCTATCCATAGCCACAAATCACACAAAACTGCATGCTTTCTGGCACTTGATCTGAGCAATTCGGCAGCTGGATAAATAAATGTGACAAGTTTTTTGAACAGAGGCTGAACTGACTAGTCCACAAATCCCAGGAACTAATCTCAGAACGGTGTTTGTAAATGTACACAATAAAATACACAAAAAATTATACTGAAATGATCAAATAGTCTTCATCATAATATACTAACATAGGTGCTTCCTATTAACACATTATTTTAAATTACCTAGTAGCAGGGAAATAGCAGCACCCATTCCAAAGCAGCGATGAGCTTACATGTCGCTCACAGGTAACACAACACTGACGTGATAAGAAAACACAGTCAGTCATACGTCGCTTAGCAATGGGGCTACGTCCTGAGACATGCGTCACCAGGCGACTTTGTCAGGGTGCGAACATCAGACTGTACTCACACACACCTGGATGGTGCGTTCTACCACACCCCTGGGTTGAATGGCACAGCCCACAGCTCCCGGGCTGCACACCTGCACAGTGTGTGACTATACTGAACACCAAAGACAACTGTAACACATGGCACTTGTGCATCTACATACAGAAAAGTCTTCTCTCAACAGCAAACACCTATGGCACAAACAAACAGAAAAATCATATGTTAAAAACATGTTGTTTTGATACAGAGAACTCCATCTGGACAGTGCATCTTTCATCTTTTGCTGCGTCTCTACTTGTTCATCACATAGCTCTGTACATGGCCTCTTTGCAGCATTTTCTAAGGTGTGAATCTTGGCTATTTCAAAAGTGAAAACAGAGAGAGTGAAAGACAATATTTTGTGAGAAAAATTTGTTACCAAACTTTACTAACTTACCTCTGAATTCTTTAAAGTGAAAAAAAAAATTTTAACTATTATTTTAGGAAAATTGAGACAATCACAGTGCATTACAACACTGTGGCATACTTTCAGGATTAGCCTAATAGTAGCCAGATAGTTTCGCAACATTTAAAATTTCATGCTATTATAAAATAATTCTAAAATACATAAAGGCCAATAATGCATATATTGCTTTCTGGGGTCTAATTTTCTTCTAGGTAAAATAAAGCATGCCAACATTTAATTGGGCTATTCAAGCAACAGCCTCATTTCATACACACAGACACACAAATATACATAAACATAGATACATACTCTGACAAATTGTGAAAAGAAGTGTTTCCCTATTCCAAAATATTCTTATTAAGAATTAATTTAAAGCTTTCTGTGAAACAATAAAAACACTTAAAAGCAAATTTGATGATTTTTTTTCTTAAAATACATTGTAAATTGGAAATAAAATTTCTGCACAAAGTGCAGAAATCTTTCAAGAGGCAGCGTAACTTTTAACTTGTAGCAACAGGTGGAAGGTTCAAAAAATTGCTTTGAGATAAACTCCAAAAGCACAATGCATTTAAAAATGTGATAAACTGGACATTATGAAAATTAAAATATTCTATTATTCAAAACACTGTTTTGACACACTGTTAAGAAAATGAAAAGACAACGCAAAGGTGGGGGAGATATATCTGCAAATGTCACATCTGACAGGGGACTCAGACCCAGAATACAGAGGGAAGTCTCAAAACCAAACATTAAAATACAAACAACCTAGTTTTTTTTTTTTTTTTTTTAGACAGTCTCCTTCTGTTGCCCAGGCTGGAGTGCGTGGCACAATCTCAGCTCACTGCAACCTCTGCCTCCCAGGTTCAAGCAATTCTCCTGCCTCAGCCTCCCAAGTAGCTGGAATTACAGGCCCACAGCACCAGGCCCAGCTAATGTTTGTATTTTTAGTAGAGATGGGGTTTCACCATGTTGGCCAGGCTGGTTTGGAACTCCTGGCCCACCTTGGCCTCCCAAAGTGCTGGGATTTCAGGTGTGAGCCACCGTGCCCGGGCAACCTAGCTTTTTTAAGTGAGAAAAAGATTTGAACAGACATTTCATGGAAGAGTAAAGATGGAAAGCAGGCACATGATAAAAGTTCCTATGTCATCAGTTATCAGGGGAAATGCAGTAAAACCTTGAAAGAGATACAACTCTCCACTATTAGGACGGCTGGGAGACCATTAGCCCAGGCTACAGGGGTCCTGGAAGGATGTTGCACCGCTGGAACCTTCGGGCAAGGCTGGTAGAAACCCAAAAGGGCAGTCAGTTTGGAAAGCAGCTTGGCAGCTTCTCATAAAGTTAAACATACACTACCATTGACACAGCCACTCCCATCCCAGGCATCGAACTAAATGCCCAAGTGAAATATGAACCCAATTTCCACAAAAACTCCTGCGCTCAGTATTTACAGTAGTTCATTCATCACTGCCAGAACCTGGAAACAGCTCCAGTGCTTTCAGCAAATGAATCCATAGAAACACCGGCTCGTTCCTGTACTGGAACATGGGCACGTTCCTATACTGGAACAGACTCTGTGTGATCCTATGCTGCAACGTGCACCACGCGATCCTATGCTGGAACACACACCACGTGTTCCTATACTGGAACATGCACCACAAGATCCTAGACTGGAACAAACCCTGGCATGTTCCTATACTGGAACACACATCACATGATCCTATACCAGAACAGACACTGCACATTCCTATACTGGAACATGCACCACAAGATTCTATACTGGAACAGACACGGCACATCCTATACTGGAACAGGCACCGCACATTCCTATACTGGAACAGGCACCTCACGATCCTATGCTGGAACAGGCACCTCACGATCCTATGCTGGAACAGGCACCGCGCGTTCCTATGCTGGAACAGGCACCGCGCGTTCCTATGCTGGAACAGGCACCGCGCGTTCCTATGCTGGAACAGACACCGCGCGATCCTATGCTGGAACACACATCACAAGATCCTAGACTGGAACAAACCCTGGCACGTTCCTACACTGGAACACGCACCGCACGACCCTACACTGGAACACGCACCGCACGACCCTACACTGGAACACGCACCGCACGACCCTACACTGGAACACGCACCGCACGACCCTACACTGGAACACGCACCGCACGACCCTACACTGGAACACGCACCGCACGACCCTACACTGGAACACGCACCGCACGACCCTACACTGGAACACGCACCGCACGACCCTACACTGGAACACGCACCGCACGACCCTACACTGGAACACGCACCGCACGACCCTACACTGGAACACGCACCGCACGACCCTACACTGGAACACGCACCGCACGACCCTACACTGGAACACGCACCGCACGACCCTACACTGGAACACGCACCGCACGACCCTACACTGGAACAGGCACCGCACGACCCTACACTGGAACACGCACCGCACGACCCTACACTGGAACAGGCACCGCACGTTCCTATACTGGAACACGCACCGCACGATCCTATACTGGAACAGGCACCGCACGTTTCTATATTGGAACACACACCACACGATCCTATACTGGAATACTACTCAGCAATTTATAAAAATCAACTATTGATTCATATAGCAATATAGATAAGTCTATAATACATCGTGCGAACTGGAAGAAGCCAGTGTCTCAAGGTTGCCTCTGGTAAACTCCATCTATGTCACATTTTGGAAAAGGAAACACGACAGACAGAGAACAGGCAGGCAGGTGCCTGTGGCTGGGAGCAGGGCAACAGGAAACACAGAACTGAAGAGTAACAGGCCCACACTTGCAGGTGCCACTAAACAAGATCTTAGCAGAAGTGTTTACCCCTTTAATATTCACATTAAGTCTAAATCAAAGTATAAACAAACACGCAAGCAAGCATCCAAGCTAAAAGTCAAAATAAGAACCACCGAACAGAAGAAAGTAAAGGGGAAAAAAATAATAAAGACAGGAGCAGAAATTCATAGAAATTAAATAGGAAAAAGTCCACAGTCAAAGGCCAGGCGCAGTGACTCAAGCCTGTGTAATGCCAGCACTTTGGGAGGCCGAGGTAGGCGGATCACTTGAGGCTAAGACTTTGAGACCAGCCTGGCCAACATGGTGAAACCCTGTCTCTACTAAAATTACAAAAATTAGCCAGGTGTGGTTGCGTGCGCCTATAGTCCCAGCTACTCTGGAGGCTGAGGTGGGAGAACTGCTGGAACTCAGGAGGCAGGGCTGCAGTGAGCTGAGATCATTCCACTTGCACTCCAGCCTGGGTGACAGAGCGAGACCTTGTCTCAAAAAGAAAAAAAAAGAAAAGAAAAAAGTACACAATCAAGATAATCCAATCAAAAAGATCATTTTAAAATTCTGGTCAGAGTTACATGAAAAAGAAGGGAAAAAAAGTGTAAAATATATCTCAATTACACTGATATTAAAACTTTTTAATTTTAGTCAAAAATTAAAAATAAAACACTAATAGCCGGTATCAATGAAAAGGGAAACATAAGTAAAAACAGTGCAAAGATTAAATAGATCAAAAGAAACACTGTGAACTTTGGCCAGTATATCTGAAAACTAAGATAATATGGAAAAGTTCAGAAAAAACAACATTTTCCTGAATTGTGTCAAGAAGCAGCAGAAAACCTGAATATTCCTATAACCATAACAGTTATTGAATCAGTGGTTTAAAATCTTTCCACAAAGAAAACACCCAGGCCCATGTGTTTTTAATGGCAAGTTCAGCCAAATATGTAAGGTAAAAGAATTCCAACTGTACAAAAACTATTCCACAGTAATCAAAAGCACCATTTTACAACTCATTTTATAAGGATATATAAGCTTAGTAGTAAACCCTAACAAGAAAAACAGGAGAAGCAAGAATTACAGGCTAGTATCATGTCTGAAGATGGATAGAATAACCCTAAACAAAACAAGAGCAAGCCAGACATGGATGTGCTCAACATCACTCATCACTGGGAAAATGCAAACCAGAACTACAGTGAGATATCACCTCATCCCAATTAGAATGGCTATTACCAAAAAGACAAACATGTCAGGAAGGATGTGGAGGAAAGAAAACACTAGTGCTGCTGGTGGGAATGGAAAACAGTATCAAGGTTCCTAAAAAAAATTAAAAATACAACTACCATATGATCCAGCAATCCTGCTACTGGGTATTATCAAAAGGAAATAAAGTTAGTGTCAAAGAGATCTCTGCACTATCATGTTCACTGCAGCACTATTCATCATATCCAAGATATGGGACCAACCCAACTGTCACACGCCAAAAGATGAATGGATAAAGAAAATATTGTACTTATAGACAGTGGAATACTATTCAGCCATAAAAGTGGAATCCTTTCACTTTGGGCAACATGGATGAATATAAAGGACATATGTTAAGTGAAGAGAGCCAGGCACAGAAAGGCCAACACCACATGATCTCACTCACGTGCAGAATCTCAGAAAGCCAATCTCACAGAAGTAGAGAGTAGAATTGTGGTTACCAGAGGTTGGGTAAGAGTGTGGGAGGAGGAGATGGCAAAAGGAAGGTCAATAGCACAAAGCTACAGTTAGATAGGAAGACTAAGTTCTGGTGGTCTGTTGCACAGTGGAATGACTGGAGTTAACAATAATGTATTATTTATTTCAAAATAGCTAAAACAGAGGTTTTTGAATGTACTCATCACAAAGAAATGGTCAATGTTTGAGGTAATAGATGTGCTAACTGCCCTTATTTACCCATTATGCAATTTATACATGTATTAAAACATCACATTGTACTCCGTAAGTGTGTATAAGTATTATTTTCAAACACAAATAACAAACGTTTACGAAGAAACTCATACGTCTCTGGACAATTGATTTTTGACAAGGGTGCCAAGACAATTCAATTATGAAAGAACAGTCTTTTCCACAGATGGTACCAGGAAAGCTGGACAGCCAAATGCCAAAGAAAGAAGTTGGATCCCTTCCTCACACCATATGCAAACATCAATGCAAAATGGATCAAAGACCTAAATGTAACAGCAAAAGGTATATAAAACTCTTAAAAGAAAACAGCATAAATCTTCATGACCTTGATTAGGCAATGGTATCTTAAATACAACATCAAAAGCACAAGCAGCAAAAAAAGAAATAAACTGGATATCATCAAAATTTAAAACATCTATGCTTCAAAGAACACCATCAAGAAAAGTGAAGGTGAAAACACACCCTATAGAATGGGAAGAAATTATTTGCAGGTCATACGTCTGATAAGGACTTGTATCTAGAATACATAAATCCTCACTATCCAATAATAGACAAATAACCTAGTTTAAAATGGGCAAAGGATCTTAATAGATATTTCTCCCAAAGGAGATATACAAACAGCCAACAAGCACATGGAAAGATGTTCAACATCATTAGCCATTGGAGAAATGCAAATCATAACCACAACACCATACCCTAAAATACCACAATACCATACCCTTCACACCACTTAGGATGGATAGAATAAAAAAGCCAAATAACAAGTGCTGGTGAGGATCTGATGAAATCAGAACCCTCCTATACGACTGGCAGAAACGTAAACTCATGCTGCAACTTTGGAAAACAGTCTGAAACGTCCTGAAAATGTTCAAACAATTCCACTCCTAGGTATATACCCAAGAGAAATAAAGACATATGTTCACGCAAAAAGTTGTGCACAAATATGCACAGCAGAATTATTCACAACAATCAGTGTACACAACCCAAAAGCTTTCAACTGATGACTGGATAAATAAAATGTGGTATATCTGTACAAATGAATGTCATTCAGCAATAAAAAGAAAATACCTGACATGACATGGACGAACCTTAAAACATTATGCTAAGTGAAAGAAGTCAGTCACAGAAGTCCATATATTGTATGATTCTGTTTACACGAAATGTCCAGAGCATGGTAATCAACCGAGACAGAAGTGGATTTGTGGTGGCCAGGCCTGGCCTGGGGAGGAGGCAGGGGAAGAGAGGATGGCTAAGATAGGTGGGGTTTCTTTGGGAGATGCTAAAGCCATTGAATTGTGTACTTTAAACAGGTCAACTGCACAGTATATGAGTTACAGATAAGTAAATTTGTTAATAAAAGATAACATTTACTGTACAGTTTCATGTATATGAGGTTGAAATACAAGCAAAACTAATCCATGTGGTTTGGAGTCCCCATAGTGGGGATCCTTGATAGGCGAGGAAGGACAGCATGGCTGGGAAGGGGGTCAAGAGAGACCGTAGTCTACCAGTACTACCTTATTGATCCTTGATGGGCGACGAAGGACAGCATGGCTGGAAAGGGGGTCGAGAGAGACTGTAGTCTACCAGTACTTCCTTGTTCATCCTTGATGGGTGAGGAAGGACAGCACGGCTGGAAAGGGGGTCAATCGAGACTGTCGTCTACCAATATTTCTTTGTTGATCTGGCTGCTGAGCAGAAGGCTGTGCTCCCTTCATGAAAACTGAGTGGCTGTGAACTTAACAACTGGCATAACTTTTTGCAGGTATGTTACAGTTCAATAAAAATGTCTTTTTAAAAAAAGTAAATCAATGTATACATGAGCCATCCCTACCATTTTGATTCAGCTTCACTTCCTAATAGAGAAATTACTAATTCCTCACTCTCACAAACACACTTCCTTTCTAACTCATTCACTGCAATGGCAGAGCTGACGAATACTCTTCACTGTGAACCACAAAGTAAACAAAAATATGTTAAACAAATGAAAAAAATTAGTAGAGCACTCCATATCAAAAACATTTTTGGCAACAGGTACTATTAAATGTCAAAAGTCATTTACAAAATAATTTACATCTGACACATTAAAACATACTACCAATGTTTTAAAATATTTAATCCCCTAAGTAATCCATTAAAGTGTGTCTAAAACAAGCCAGATAAACTTCAATGACTTAAACATATGTTTTCCGTACAGTTACTCTTATTGACAACTTAATACCCGTGAAGAAATGTAAAGATATCATGTAGCGAGGACACAGTGACAGAAAGTCTAAGGCTTTCTTTTTAAATCCTCCTTTACAACTACTCTGCGTGAGGAATGTGGTGAATGCAGCGACACAGCTTTCAATCCTCCCAGACCAATCATATCACACATCACATCACACAAAGCAACAAGATAGCAAAACCCAAAAACCATTTACAGCAACCAGGTGACCAGACAGCCCAGGGAGTGCAAAATACGGGGAAGTGCCCCAGGATCTACGTGGCGTCCGTGTCCAAGGACAGAGGGGCAGTGGCTGGTGAGGGACAGGCCAGGCCCGGTGGAACCCCAGGAGAGGCCGTGGTGCCCACTCCACACCATGCACAGTGGCCCAAGCCAGGCCCCAAAGCCGGAAGGGGATTTGCCCACCAGCAGTCAGTGTGCAGAGGGGTCTCCCCGTAAAGACAGCCCCCGTGAACTCCTGATGCTGATCAGCCACACCGCCCTTCCAGGAAAGGCTCTCACCCTGAGATGATAATAGGACTGAGGGAAAAACACGTCAATAAAACCAGGGGCAGGGAACAGAGCCAGGAAATCTCAGAAGTCAAACTGCCACCTTCTTAACTTCACATGAAAACGACAGAAGGGAGAGCTCTAGGAAGTCGGAAAAGCTCTCCCGGATTCTGCTTTCTTCCCAAAGTTCACCTACATTAAGATCACATAAAAATAAGCAACAGAAAGCTATCATCCTGGTCAAATCAATCCAATAAAAATTATTACAGAAAACAAAAAAGCCGAATAACACCCCTGCCTGCACACAACGAAAGCCCGCCAGAGGTACATCCATAAAGTGAGCGAAAGCCCGCCAGAGAGGCACATCCACAAAGTGAGTCAAAACTACCACCGGCTGCTGTAAAACAAGCTGGAAGACACTAAGAAGATTACATAAGGCAGAAAAGAACAATGTAAATCAGAATTAGAAAAACTTAAAGCTGAAGCAACAGAACTCAGGGAAAAACGTTTAGAAATAAATGACAGCTCATTTCAGAAATGAAGAATAAAATAGAGGAAACAAGAATGAATAATCACAAATGATGCATTAAGAAAAATATAAGGTTGAAAAAAGAAGAAAATCCCCAAAAAATGAAGTTGCAAATATTAGACAGGCAAAACAGAAAGAACAGATAATAAGAATCTCTAAAAGTGAAAATCAGAGCAGCAGAAGAGAACAAAATGTTAGAAGCTATAATTCGTAAACGTTCCCTGAAAACTTAAAAGTTTGACTACATATTGAAAGAACGACCATGTACCAGAGAAATTAAATCAGAACGATGACCACCAAGGCACATAATAATACCGTTACTGAGCAATAAAGAGAGTAAAAGTCCTCTGGCGTTGAGACAGAAAGATGAGTTACTTTTAAGGGAAACAGATTCAAGCACGTGCCTGTTCAACAGCATTGTGTTAGGTTAGGGGAATACAGAATAACATCTTTAAGATATGCCAGGAAAGTAAATATAAGCCAATCATTGCATACGCAGCAAACCTGGTCTTCAGGTATAAAGGACACAGAAAAACTGACAGCAACGTACAATCGCTCAAGGAGTATTGTTCCCATGAATATGTTTTGAAGAAAGTTCTAGACAACAAACTCCAGAGAACCACAAGGACTAGAGAGATGGCGACCTAAGGACGAGTAGTTAGGAGTAAACATGTGGCTACTCATAGAACCCTAAGTGATTACCAGAAGGGAAAGAATGCAGAATTTAATGGATCTGCTCTGACAATGCCAATATATTATGGCATTAAAAATGCAGGACACAGGGGAGCATGTGAGAAAGGTACTTGGTGTCTTCCGTAGTCACACTGGTGGCAGTGTCCAAATCGTTATGTTAAGACTGCCAGGCACATGATGTAGGATAGAGGAAATGTTTAATTATGGACTGCTGTAACTCTATTATATCCTGTGCTCTCGAGAATCAGGATACCTAGCATGGAAAACAAGAGACACAAATGTGATATGAAATAGCCATAGTAAAAAGTATTCCAAATTCCTAAGTTCAAATTGGAAGTATCAGTATTAATTCATGTGACGGTTAGTCTTCAAAAACTCACCTGCTGCCGGGTGTGGGGGGCGGCACCTGCGGTCCCAGCTACTCAGAGGCTGAGGCAGGAGAATCGCTTGAGCCCAGGAGTTCAAGGCTGCAGTGACCCAAGATCACACCTGTGAATGGCCACTGCACTCCACCCTGGGCAATATAGCAAGACCTCATCTCAAAAAAAAAATCACATGTATTTCTAGCTCTGCCTTACAAGGGTCTAGAAACAATGACCTTCATGTAGCAACGTACACCCCTAGTAACCGGGTCGTGTTCTTGAAATGCCAGTTTCACTAAACAGCAGAGTTCCTTAGATAACAGATAATTCCAAGTCTGGGACAGAATATGGGCAACATGAACATCTACGAAAGGCTGCCAGGGTTGTGTCCCAAGGACTCAGAGCCAAGTGAAGAGGCCCCCACTGGCCAAAGATGGACAAGTGTGAGCGTCAGGATGAGCGACCATCACAATGCACTGAGATGCCAAACGTGCGCCATGCATGAGTTCATCATAACCGTTTTAATGAATTGGTCCTCTTTGGAGGGTGAGATAAACCAATTCATTCCTTGATAACTTTTAAATTCAGGGGAAGAATCGAGGATTTATCTTGCCTTTTCCATATGAACTGCTCCATTTCATAATGAAATAGATGAAGGGCTGTTGTTTTATAGAAACAAGTTCAATTTATATATGAGAAATAAAAGGTAAAATCAAAATATTACCACTCCCCAACTCCTAGTGAATTAATGGGCCTAGGCTCTCATCAGTCAATACTTTCTGACATCACCAGAGAGTGAGAGCTAGACACAGCGTCCCTGGATGAAAGGGCACAGCCACTGCTGAGTCCTGCCAAACAGAATACACAAGGGGATCCAGTCTCTGGATCCAGCTGCCAAGGCTGAAAACACAGACGAATGCACGATGTGCCCCATGTAGACGTGTTCACAGAATCGAGAGTGTGGGGAGACGTGCAGGCATGTACCGTGTAGACGCGCTCGCAGAATCCAGAGTGTGGGGAAACGTGCAGGCGTGCACCGTGTAAATGCACTCACAGAATCCAGAGTGTAGGGAGACATACAGGTGTGCACCGTGTGGACGCGCTCGCAGAATCCAGAGTGTAGGGAGACATGCAGGCGTGCACCGTGTGGACGCGCTCGCAGAATCCAGAGTGTGGGGAGACGTGCAGGCGTGCACCGTGTGGACGCGCTCGCAGAATCCAGAGTGTGGGGAGACGTGCAGGCGTGCACCGTGTGGACGCGCTCGCAGAATCCAGAGTGTAGGGAGACGTGCAGGCATGTACCGTGTAGACGCGCTCCCAGAATCCAGAGTGTGGGGAAAAGTGCAGGCGTGCACCATGTGGACGCGCTCGCAGAATCCAGAGTGTAGGGAAACGTGCAGGCGTGCACCGTGTAGACGCGCTCGCAGAATCCAAAGTGTGGGGAGACGTGCAGGCGTGCACCGTGTGGACGCGCTCGCAGAATCCAGAGTGTGGGGAGACGTGCAGGCGTGCACCGTGTGGACGCGCTCGCAGAATCCAGAGTGTGGGGAGACGTGCAGGCGTGCACCGTGTGGACGCGCTCGCAGAATCCAGAGTGTGGGGAGACGTGCAGGCGTGCACCGTGTGGACGCGCTCGCAGAATCCAGAGTGTGGGGAGACGTGCAGGCGTGCACCGTGTGGACGCGCTCGCAGAATCCAGAGTGTGGGGAGACGTGCAGGCGTGCACCGTGTGGACGCGCTCGCAGAATCCAGAGTGTGGGGAGACGTGCAGGCGTGCACCGTGTGGACGCGCTCACACAATCCAGAGTGTACGGAGACATGCAGGTGTGCACCGTGTAGATGCGCTTGCAGAACCCAGAGTGTGGGGAGACGTACAGGCCAAACGGCCTGGGGAAAGAGGAGCAGGAGAAGAGGCCGTGGATCAAAAGAGACCTAAAAGGCATCTCAGTGGAGACAGATCTGAAGGCTGAGCTGCAGAGGCAGGGAATGCCCATGTGGGTGATGAAACGGTGAATAAACATGAAGAAGTCATAATCATGAGCATCAGGACAGGGGCACTTAGGGTGGGAGCAAGGGTGCTGACCAGGACGAGGCACACAGAGGGACAGGTGGCACCATCCTGTTTTTCACCGAGGTGGTGATTCATCTCACAACCAAACTTCTGTACCCTTTGGCCAGACTCTTCCCATCCATCCTAAGACCAGGCCTGGGAACCACCATGGTACTCTCTGCTTCTGTGAGCTCAATGTTTTAGATTCCACATATAAGTGAGCACAGGTGGCATTTGTCTTTCTGCGCCTGGCTTATTTCGCTCAGCATAAAGTCCTCCAGATTCCTCCAAATGACAGAAATGTCTTTGTCTTTTTAAAGGCTCAATAGTATTCCATTGTGCATCTATATCAGCACATTTTATCCATTCACCTGTTGTTAGACATCTAGAATGATTCTATATCTTGGCTACTATAAATAATGCTGCAGTGAACATAGGAATGCAGACATCTCAACACACTGAGTGCAATTCCTTTGGATTTGTGCCAAGAAGTGGGACGGCTGGATCACATGGTAGTTCTATTTCTATTTTTTTTAGGAACCTGCATACTGTTTTCATAATTGCTACTCTAATTTACATTCCCACCAACAGAGCACTAGGGTTCCCTTTTCTCCCCCTCCTCACCAACACTTGTTTTCTTTTGGTTTTCAGTAACAGCCATCCTAACAGGTGTGAGGTGATATCCCACTGTGGTCATATGTGGCTTTTCCTGATTTAACAAAATAACAGGTAACCTCACTGATGAGAATTTTGAGCATCTAATCACTGTGATGAACTTCTGCTTACAGATTTGCTAAAGGCAGCACCTCGCCATTTCAGATGCTGTTTGTCATAACCACAGACATGCTCTCGCTCCCCAGGAAGTCACCAGCAGGGGAATCACAGTCCAGCTTTAATTAATTGCCTTTACTTCTTTCTGCCGTCAGCCATGATGTGCAAGCAAGAAGGCTCTTTTTCTCTCATTAAAGAAAGTTCTTCATTACTTGTTCTTTTGAGTCTTAAGGGATCCCTGTTTGCAGTAAAAGAAGTTTAATTGCATTAACATGACAATATAGTCAGGAGTAAAAAAAAAATGTACAAGAGCTTTTCCCTTTTTTTGGTGTCCCTGAGCACTTGTCCAAGCTAGAAAGGGAAATCCACTGGATCTATAATTAATATTTTTTATTTTAAAGCTTATCAAACAATGTATATTATGGATTAATTGAAATTCCTGAAGACCCATATATTATCAATGTACAGTAGTGGTTCACAACCCTGGCTGTACAATGAAATTTTTCAGGGAGCACTAAAAATAAAATTAAAATAAAATAAAATATAATAAAAAAATAAAATACTGATGCCAAGACCACATCCCAGAACAAGTGAATAAGGATTTGTGTGAATGGAGTAGCTGATTTCTCTTAGGTTTTAACCATGAGATTCCTAAACACAATGAAGTCGTTATGCTGAAAGAGGAAAAGGTTCTGACCACTTTTCATTTTAAAAACATTAAGAACTTAAAAGGAACAAAGGGAGGGGAAAGACAAGAAGTACGATGCCAGCATCCCTTAAATTATTGTAAAGTATGTTTAGGACATCATCAGGAGTCTGCATAAATTTAATTCAATTTCCACCATCGTCCACACTACAGGATCCACACAGAGTAGCTAATTTAACATTTGTTTACCAAATATTAATATATATAAATTTCAGGCTGGGCACAGTGGCTCACGCCTGTAACCCCAGCACTTTGGGAGGCCAAGGCAGGCAGATCACTTGAGCTCAGGAGCAGCCTGGCCAACATGGCGAAACCCCCTCTCTACTTAAAAAAGAAAAAAAAAAAAACAAAAAACAACTAGCCGGGCGTGGTGATGCATGCCTGTAATCCCAGCTACTCAGGAGGATGAGGCAGGAGAATTGCTTGAACCCGGGAGGCAGAAGTTGCAGTGAGCTGAGATCGCACCACTGCACTCCAGCCTGGGCAACAGAGTGAGACTCCGTCTAAAAAAAAAATTATATATTTTATATATATTTATATATACATATTATATACACACACACACACACACACACATACACACAAACAAATTTCTACAAGGCGCCCAACACAGCAGCCAGCCTGGGAAGCCAGGATGGACCAGAGACCGCTGCCTGCGGCCTGAGCACGGCCTTAGGTCAGGCAGGCAAATAAAAACACGTCTGCACCGCTACTTACTAAACTAGGGATGGTGATGAACACGCTATAAAAATGTTGAAAAGAAGGATTCTGAGAAATAATTTTTTAACATTACATTCTCTAGTATTCTCATCGTGCTTCAGTTTGGAGTCTTGGTCAAAACTGGTGTTTAATAAATTCAATGAAACATTTATTATGAGTCAGGAACCACGAAAAGTGGCTGGAACACAAAGATGAATGACACACTCCTTATCCACAAGGTGCGGCCCCTTCTTCTGCAGGCTGCACAGGTCCGAGGACTGGCCAGGCTGCCTCGAACACCAGGCCGAGCTCATGCCAGCAGCACTGGGCACACGGCCCGCGAGATCCCGAGGCCTGAGCGCATCCGCTCCCGGGATCCCCGCCAGGAGGAAGGCGCTGCCACCCACGTGTCACAGATGGGAACATGGAGATGCTGGGGGTAGCGCCCTAACCCTGACCAGGAGATGGGACGTGGTCGAGATAGGACTCGAACCCCGGGAATCTGGCTCCAGAATCTGTGTTTCTAACCATGACATTATCTAGCCAAGTAAGAGAAGAACATTGTTTTCCTACCACAGAATGTTAGGGTGGGATCTGCTAAGGAGAACAGCAGCAGGTGTGTGCATGTGCGCTGGCAGAGACACGCGAGGAGAGGCAGAACGGAAGCAAAACATGAAAGGAGACGAGCGCAGAGTCTGGTATGGTCCTTCGGTAAAGTGATGAGGGAAACAAAAGATCTCCGTTAGATGCCATCTTTAAATAAGCAGCTTGTTAACGTGGTGTTCACATGAAACGCCCTCGTCTCCTTAGCAACGCGGCCCTGGCCCCAGCAGGGCCCTCTCTCCAAAGCCCTTCCAGGGTCAAAGGGCAGCGCCTGTAGGCCGGGGAAACGGAAGTAGGAGCACCCCAACCCCACCCCCTGCCCACAGGCCGCGTTCTCCAGCTCGGGCTTTATTCCCACAAGACGCTGGCCTGCAGAGGGTCACCCCGGCAGAACCTCAGCCTTGTGTGCCCCCGCACCTGCCAGGCCTCGAACGCTTGCCAGGAGATCTCAGGAGCCTGGCACACAGGAGCCCTCGGACCCCATCCCTGCCAGGGCGCCTGCAGGACCTACAGAGCATCGCCCCATCCAGTGCCTCTTCCCGGACAAGGCCCAGCGCCCCAAGACCTGCTATCCCACGGACGCCCGCAAGGCAGGGCCCAGGACCAAGCCGATATCTTCTCACCCGATGGCTGCACAGCGTCTACTCCACAGGAAAGAACATGGACGGGGACAGTCATCTCCCGCCCGAGCCTTGCGGGGCACTGGAAGCAGGAGGCGGCCGGGGCTTTCCGGCCGAGTCCCCGGCCCGCAGCTGCATTCTCCAGCTTTTCCTGACACTGCAGGATTCGGTGTCTAAATTTAAGACCAGAGAAAAAGCGTTCAGGAACAACACAGCTGTTGCGCCGCCGCTGTGCTCCATGGCTGCGGGTGTCCTTTACATCTCGGCATTTATTCTGAGTTAAGTGCGGATCCATTCACACTCATGGACAAAAAGTCTTCCAAGGAAGGAACGTGTCTTACACCCAAAAATGACCAAACCTGTGAGAAAAGGTCTGCGTTTGATACATGAAGGGATGGATACACAAACATCACAGTTACGGCAGCGTAACAGGAAAGCAGTTCTGAGACAGCGACGGTGAGCCTGGACCCACACGAAAGAACGTGCCACAGACCGGCTGGTACGGGGAGAAAGCATTAACTCCAGAGAAGGGAAAGCCTGAATTAACTGTAAATTAACAGCCATAAATACTCTTTAATAACTAAGTATTTCAGACATTTGGTGACGCAGCCTAGCACAGAGAAAAGCATTTAATTCCAAGTTCACAGGTAGCAAACCTGAAGTTCAGGAAGAGAACTCGTTTTAAGAGTGCCTCAAAACCTGCACTGCGGAGAGAAGCCCTGTCAGCAGGGCCAGCCACAAACGAACCCCCGGACACAGGAGCACGGGGGACCACGGACTACAAAGCCACCACCAAAACCCTGAAATGTCAAGATGGGAGAGGAGGATGGAGAGAGGGGTGGGGTGGGGAGCATTCTAGGGGGCGGCGTGGAGCACAGTGGGGAATCTAAAACAGGGCCTGGCCTGGGAGCGATGTCGTCACGTTTTGATTTTTCACTTCATTTCTCCCAATGTCTCTGGAGAAAGCCACTTCAAACCCCAAATGTTGGCTTACTAGATTTTGGAAGCAGATAATATTTGAATAGAAGTGGGTAATATTTCAAGAATATAAAGAGAAACATATATTTAAAAGTAAATGTTTTAAATGGCAGGCAATATTTCAAATAAAGTTTTATTCCTCACTACTCAGTTGTTTGGTGAATTCAATTCAGTGCATAGTACCAGACGAGGAGCATTAACTCCATCCATATGAAAGCAGCCCCCCCTCCACAAACACCCATGCACATTAACACACGTGCACACCAATGTACATGCACACTAACACGTGCACACATGTGAGCAGTAACCTGCATGCACCTGTGCACCCCAACATAATGTAGACATGTGCACACTAACATACATGCACACACAGAGACAGGCACACATACACACATGACACAATGTGACAGCCTTGCTTGGGTTAATGAAGTCTCATTCTAGAAAGTTTGTTTTTGTTTTTATTTTTAAACGATTTCAACCTTTATTGTAGGTTCACAGTTACATGTGCAGGTTTGTTACATGGATATACTGCATGAGGCTGAGGTTTGGGGTACAAATGATCCTGACATCCAGGTACTAAGCATAGTACCCAATAGGATCCTGTCACTCAGGTACTGAGTGTAGTACCCAATAGGGCATAGCACCCACTTGACCCCCTCCTCCCTAACAACAAGGAGGAGGTCCAGGACTGCATTTCCCAGAAGGTTTCCTTTTCTTGCACTGATTTGGTCAAGGAAGACAGAGTGTTTTAAAGGTAGAAAGATCTAACCACTCTTAAAACAATCACAAGTTAAAGTGCAGGTAGGTGGAAGACAGCAATGAGATTTGCACTTAATGTTTAAGCTGAATAGCACTAATTCTGTTTATCAAAAATGTCCTGAATGATGTGCTTGTGGCACTGAGGAACGCAGGCGCATGCGTCGGCCTGCATTTGCTCAGAGCCTATTATGAACTTCATGGAACTATAATGGCTTAAACTTCTCAGCTTGTCTTTATGTCTGGCTCATATTTTGCCATGTTAAAGCCCACAAATTAAAACAGCCACACGCTGGCATACAGGACTGGCTCTGCCCCACGTGAGGGGCAGGGGCGTATGGGGTCACAAAAGCCAGCACTGCTCTACTGGGACTCGTCAGCCCATGGTCTACTCCTCCGCTTCTTCCATGAGTGGAGACACAAAATGACTGAATAGGATCGCATCCTGAGACGAGCTTGCTGTACTAGGCAACGCTGAGTTGCCTGGGAACGTGATTCAGCCCTGGTTTCTGCTTCCCCTAATGAATCCCACTCCTTGGTTACTGATTGAATTGGGCAACGTCTCCAGGCCTCTTTGTGTCCCACACAAGGGCGAGCCCACTGCACCAATGAAAAGGCACGAATTCTCGTCCCACTGAGGAGCCACCAGCTCCATAAATAATTTTTTTCTTTTTTACCACTTTGAAAATGGCAAAGAGGATAATCCAACCTGTCATGTTCTGAGATAAAAGATGAAAAACTTCCTTTGCAACTATTTTCCCAGGAAATACAGAAATTTTGTCTAAATTCATGGTAAAAAATCTCTAAAGATGAAAGGTATGCATACATTTAAATAAAAAACAAGTCCTCTGGCAGCAGAATAATGACCCCCAAAGAAGTCTACACTGTGATCTTCAGAAGCTGAGAACTGGTGACCTCACGTGGCAGAGGGACTTTGCAAAGGGGAGAAGCCGAGGGTCCTGAGATGAGACAGGGGTGATCCTGGACTAGCCATGGCCCACTCTAATCACAAGAATCCTTAAGCCAGAGAACCTTGAGCCAGAGATGCAGCATCAGAGACACCCCCACCCCACCCTCTGCTGCTGGCTTTGCAGATGGAGGTGGGGCCACAAGCCAAGGCAGGCAGGACCCTCCAAAGCTGGGAAACGCTGAGAAACAGGTCCCCCCAGAACCTCAAGAGGAGCTGGCCTGGCTGACACCCGGATTTTAGCCCAGCAAGACTCCTGTTGGACTTCCGACCTCCAGAACTCTAAGATAATAAATGTGTATGGTTTAAGCCAAGAAGTGTGTGGTAATTTGTTACAGCAAAAAGCCTGAATTCTCTCAGGAAATGGGTACTGGAGTGCTGACTCCCCCAGTGCGCCTTCCCAAAGTCTTAGGAATAATTGGGTGATGTCACCACTACTCTGACAGAGCTCTCAGACATCGGCCTTAATCATATGTCTGCCATTTTTTAGAAACACTGTGAACACAGCATGAAGACAGGTAAGCCCTGTATCAACCCCAGTGCTGCTCATGGGGATGATGGGAGGATGTAGTGCTTGTCACAGATGTTTACTGGGTTTGCACCTTCATCTACATGAATTTGAAATCCAGATCAGTGTGCTGTGTGAGAAACCAGAGTTGTGAGAGAAACGAGGGGCCCTGTAGCCATCATCCCATTACAAAGAACTGACTCCCAAGAGGAAGAGCCCACCCCATGTCCATACACCCCGTGCCATCTCTCTCCTCCTAGTTGATCCCACAGTGTCTTCGCTGCTCAGCTCCCACCCAAGGCTGAGCACAGTCTCCTGTCAGGGACCAGCAGAGGCTCTCAGCATGTGCTGCCTACTGCAGCTGACATTCTTACACAAACACAGTTGTGCTCACTTCCTCCACAGGCACTCTGAAAAGGGAAATAAAGCTTTAACATAAGTGTTTATCAAAAAAATCAGTGCAAAAGAAAAGTGACAGGCAGATATCCCATGACCACAATTAACATTTTCCCAAAATACAAAGATAATCTGACATTAGAAAACTTTAATAGTATCACTTCTCAGTAAATACAACAGTGGATTCACCAATCAGACGCAGAGACAAGCAGAGCCTTGACTTACAGATACACCTAAATGAATCCAGAAGAATGCAGGCAATGACTGTAAACAATAAAATTAAAATGTCACAGCTGGAAACTGGATCACTTCCTTACACCTTATATAAAAATTAATTCAAGATGGATTAAAGATTTAAATGTTAGACCTAAAACCATAAAAACCCTAGAAGAAAACCTAGGCAGTACCATTCAGGACTTAGGCATGGGCAAGGACGTCATGACTAAAACACCAAAAGCAATGGCAACAAAAGCCAAAACAGACAAATGGGATCTAATTAAACTAAAGAACTTCTGCACAGCAAAAGAAACTACCAACAGAGTGAAAAGGCAACCTACAGAATGTGAGAAAACTTTTGCAATCTACCCATCTGACAAAGGTCTAATATCCAGAATTTACAAGGAACTTAAACAAATTTTACAAGAAAAAAACAAACAACCCCATCAAAAAGTGGGCAAAGGACATGAACAGACACTTCTCAAAAGAAGACATTTATGCAATCAACAAACATATGAAAAAAAGCTCATCATCACTGATTAGAGAACTGCAAATCAAAATCACAATGAGATACCATCTCACGCCAGTCAGCATGGTGATTATTAAAAAGTCTGGAAACAACAGATGTGGGCGAGGCTGTGGAGAAATAGGAACACTTTTACACTGTTGGTGGGAATGTAAATTAGTTCAACCATTGTGAAAGACAGTGTGGCCATTCCTAAGGATCTAGAACTAGAAATACCATTTGACCCAGTGATCTAATTACTGGGTATATACCCAAAGGATTATAAATCATACTACTATAAAGACACATGCACATGTATGTTTACTGTGGCACTATTAACAATAGCAAAGACTTGGAACCAACCCAAATGTCCATCAATGATAGACTAGATTAAGAAAATGTGGCACATATACACCATGGAATATTATGCAGCCATTAAAAAGGATGAGTTCACGTCCTTTGCAGGGACATGGATGAAGCTGGAAACCATCATTCTCAGCAAACTATCACAAGGACAGAAAACCAAACACCACATGTTCTCACTCATAGGTAGGAATTGAACAATGAGAACACCTGGACACAGGGCAGGGAACATCACACACTGGGGCCTGTTGCGGGATGGGGGGCTGGGGTAGGGATAGCATTAGGAGAAATACCTAATGTAAATGACGAGTTGATGGGTGCAGCAAACCAACATGGCACATGTATATACCTATGTAACAAACCTGCATGTTGTGCACATGCATCCTAGAACTTAAAGTATTAAAAAAAAAAAAAAAAAAAAAGTGACTGCTGGACCGGGCGTGGTGACTCATGCTTGTAATCCCAGCACTTTGGGAGGCCAAGGCCAGCAGATCACCTGATGTCAGGAGTTCAAGACCAGCCTGGCCAACATGGTGAAACCCTGTCTTTACTAAAAGTACAAAAAAATTAGCCAGGTATGGTGGCCCATGCCTGTAATGCCAGCTACTTGGGAGGCTGAGGCAGGAGAATCGCTTGAACTCGGGAGGCAAAGGTTGCAGTGAGCTGAGATTGTGCCACTGCCCTCCAGCCTGGGTGACAGAACAAGACTTCATCTCAAAAAAAAAAAAAAAAAAAGTCACAGCTGAATGTTTACATAGGGTTTGTTGGCAAAGAAAGGCTTTTAAAGTAAGGCACCAAAGTCAGAAATTTTACTTCTTACATATGAAACAAAATAACTCAAATGGCAACATGAGAAACAAAAATACTTGAATTGTAAATATAGGAAAAAGGGTTAATACCTTGTTTTGATTTCAAAAGAATAAAATAAACATCGTAGTAATATTGAAATGAGAAAATAGACCATGCAATGCATGCACCAAAAAGAAAAAAAGATGGAAAACAAGGAAGAAACATACTCAGTAGCACCCGTAACTTAAATAAATAGAATCGCAAATTACGTATGATCTGCCAAACCAAGAACTATACCAAGAATTTAAAAGCAAATGTTAAAAATTAAAACAACCTAACTCACGGAGATAGAGAGTAGAATGATGGCTCCAGTGGCTGGGAAGGGTCATGGGGCTTGGAAGTAAGTGGGGATGGTTAGTGGGTCCAAAAAAATGGAAAGAATGAATAAGATCTAATATTTGACAGCATAACAGGAGTGACTATAGTTTAATAATGTAATTGTACATTTTTAAATATCTAAAAGGGTATAATTGGATTGTTTGTAACAAAAAGGATAAATGCTTGAGGGGATGGATACCCCACTGACCCTGATGTGATTATTACACATTGCATGCCTGTATCAAAATGTCTCATGTACGTCATAAATATATACATCTACTATGTACCCACAAAAATTAAAACTTAAAAAATTAAATAAAAAGCAAATGTTACATGTATAATATTGGTGAGAGGGCAGATAGGTACATTTGCCTAGAACTATATTAAAACTTTACAATGAAGATCTTTAAAAATCTCCACATCTTTTGAAATATTTTAAGTCCAAAGAGCTATTCCAAGGAAATAATTAAGTACTCAAATAGAGGTAATTTATCCAAGCATTATTTATATCACTGGAGAATTGAACATTGTTGTCAATAACAAGAGACTGGTACATAAACTGAGGTGTGCGCATGTAATGGGGAACCTCATGGCTATGAACACATTTTGAATATTTGATTGACAAGGAAAGCACCATAATATACTGCAGTTATTATAATAGGCACAAGATATCAATTTTCGTTAATATAAATTATGAACCTATATGTGACTACGAACATAGAAAATATGGAAAGTAAACCAAAATGTCAATAACAACCATCTCTGAACCTTTCAACTTTTCTTCATTTTGTTTGTTAATTTTTCTATGGTAAGACATATGGCTTACATAGTTTGAAAAAAGAAATAACTGACAAAATAATTTATAGTTTTCACGATTTCTAGAAGCAAAGCTCTGAATAAGATTGAAGGTCCTTTTTACCTTTATGATGTGTATACTTACTTTTAAATAATAAACTTATTTCCTAACTTGTTGAACTAAAAAAACTTAGAATTCTTTACTTATAAATAAACACGATGGGTATTCATCATCCCATACCCAGAAGGCCTGGTAATAAGACAAGTGTTCTCTTTCCTTGAGAAACAGAGAGACCTCGGGGCATTTGTCACCTTCATGGGTGATGAAATGGGACAGGTGGAACAAACTTCATCAGGGTCAGAAAAGAGACTGACAAATCTGAACTAGAACTTGGTTTCCAACAGCCAGGCAAATATTGATTATTTTTACACATTCTGCCTCCACTTTATTTTGTAACATTAGAAACTGGATTCCTTACCAATGTAACAGGCAATGTCAGTTATCTCATAGTGTTCTTGCTAGTTAAGGGAGAAATGGAAGAAAACACTAGGGATTTCTCCTGGTTTAGCCTCATAAACAATGAAACCAAATTGGACTCATGGGTTTAATTTAAAAAAATCAGGTTTGTCAAAGCTAAACACACTTTAAAAAATTAGAAGCCATTCCCAAACCCTAACTAAAAGCCAGTGATTCATTACCCAGTAGAAATAAAAAATAATATGTTTTAATACAGAGTTGCTTCTTGGAACATGAATCCATTACATATAGACCCTGAGAATAATAAATTGTTGTGGGAAGTCAGGGACCCCAAACGGAGGGACCGGCTGAAGCCATGGCAGAAGAACGTGGATTGTGAAGATTTTATGGACATTCATTAGTTCCCCAAATTAATACTTTTGTAATTTCTTATGCCTGTCTTTACTGCAGTCTCTAAACATAAATTGTAAAGATTTCATGGACACTTATCACTTCCCCAATCAGTACCCTTGTGATTTCCTATGCCTGTCTTTACTTTAATCTCTTAATCCTGTCAGCCGAGAAGGATGCATATCGTCTCAGGACCCTGTAATAATTGCATTAACTGCACAAATTGTACAGCATGTGTGTTTGAGCAATATGAAATGTGGGCACCCTGAAAAAAGAACAGGATGACAGCAATTGTTCAGGGAATAAGAGAGATAACCTTAAACTCTGACCACCGGTGAGCTGGGCGGAACAGAGCCATATTTCTCTTCTTTCAAAAGCAAATGGGAGAAATATCGCTGAATTCCTTTTCTCAGCATGGAAGGTCCCTGAGAAAGAGAATGTGCACCTAGGGGTAGGTCTCTGAACTGGCCCCCCCGGGGCGTACCTGTCTCTTATGGTCGAGATTGCAGAGGTGAAATAAACTCCAGTCTCCCATAGCGCTCCCAGGCTTATTAGGAAGAGGAAATTCCTGCCTAATAAATTTTGGTCAGACTGGTTGATCTCAAAACCCTGTCTCCTGATAAGATGTTATCAATGACAGTGGTGCCCAAAACTTCATTAGCAATTTTAATTTCGCTTCGGTCCTGTGGTCCTGTGATCTCGCCGTGCCTCCACTTGCCTTGTGATATTCTATTACCCTGTTAAGTACTTGATGTCTGTCACCCACACCTATTCATATACTCCCTCCCCTTTTGAAAATCCCTAATAAAGACTTGCTGGTTTTTGTGGCTTGTGGGGCATCACGGATCCTACCAATGTGTGATGTCTCCCCCGGACACCCAGCTTTAAAATTTCTCTCTTTTGTACTCTGTCCTTTTATTTCTCAAGCCAGCCGACGCTTAGGAAAATAGAAAAGAACCTACGTGATTATCGGGGCAGGTCCCCCGATAATAAATGTGTCCTCAGTTTCTTTTCCACATAGTCTTTGTCTCTGAGCAACATAGATCTATTCAGTTACCTGGACAAAAGAGAATTTTCTTTTGCAAAATAAATTAGATTTCTACATTCAGAATTATTGTGGGTTGACCCAGAAGTAATGCTAAGAATTCATGCTATCATTTATCTTATTTCAAATGAGACAAAATATCAAAATGCAGTCGTTCTTATGCTTGTCTAAGCACAACAGAAATGTAAATACTGTTCTAAGTTCTGCATGAAGATTGCAATTGCAATAATTACTGAAGAAAGCGTTATACACGTAATTATTTACACTGAACTATCATATCATTGAAATAACCGTTTGAGTAAGTTCAGTGGGTTGTCTCAAAGACATGTGATTGTTATTCCTGAAAGTCCAAATGTGTATTTTAAAAATAATCCATTTAAATGAATTTGCATGCAAGTCTGCTACCATTCAATGCCCTAAGAACACCCATGAAAAATCCTCACATTGAAGACAAACAGTTCTATATCAAGGTTATATTATCTCCTTCTCCTTCTTATTCACACTCCAGGAGATACCTAAGTTTTATAGGTTAGGTAATACAAATGAAGCCTTTTTCAGCATTTTGGTCTGGATGATTCTTGGCTGTGGCGCTGTCCAGGCACTGTAGGCTGCTCTGTGGCATCCCCCACCATGACCCATCAGATGCTGGAAGTAAACGCCCTCCAACTGTGTGACCAAAAATGTCTCCCCATATTGCCAAATGTCCCCGGGGACAAAACTGCCCCCATTTGAGAACCACTGCCATAAGGGGAAACAGCAAACATCTCCATGGATATGGGGTAAGCCCTTCTGTAGTTCTGAAACACCTCCTCTAGTGAGAGAGAATGGAAAGACTGGATGTTTCTACAAAAACATTCACGAGAAAGACTGGTGCGAGGCTGGAAAATGAGCACACCCCTAAGCTTCTCTCTCCTTCCTCAAATCCACATAAATGACAAAGGTCTAAGAAGAAATCCCAAACGTAGCTGGGACACAGGAACACGTAGGCCACCAAAGAAACACAGCACTGAGGTCCCTCGAGCAGCAGAAGAGACAAGTCAGCATGACCGAGTGAAGCACAGACGGGCAGAGAAGGCTGCGAGAGGGGGCGCGGGACCCTCGAGACACCAGGCTGCAGCCACAGGCAGAAGGCAGGGCTCCCAGCTAATTCTGCTCAGCAAAACAACTACTTCCCAAGAATGTCACAGAAACACAAAATACCCAGCACCCAAAAAGGTGAAAATTCACAGGGAAATTCTGTAACACTAAATGCCTGTGGGGAAAAAGTCTCACATCGCTGACCTCAGCTTTGACCTTCAAAAAACCTGAAAAAGAAGAGCAAATTAAAACCAAAGTGAATGAAAGGAAGGAAATAATAAAGACCAAGACAGACATGAGTGAAGCAGGGAACATAAACACAACAATGAAAATCAATAAAACCAAGCCAAAAGGAAGGAAATCAGGACATCAAAGAGGTATCTGCATGCCCATGTTGACTGCAGCTCTGTTTACAACAGCCAAGATCTGGAATCCACCTAAGTGTCCGTCCACAGACAAATGGATAAAGAAAATGTGGTGCACATACACAGTGGAGAACTATGCAGCCATAAAAAAGAATGAGATCCTGTCATTTGCAACAATATTGATGGAACTGGAGTTGATTGTGTTATGTGAAATAAGCTGGGCACAGAAAGATAAACACAGCATGTTCTCAATTATTTGTGGGAGCAAAAATTACAACCCTGAACTCATGCAAATAGAGAAGAAGTACGGTTCCCAGGGTAGTGGAGGGTAAGAAAGGCTGGTTAATGCGTATAAAAATATAGTCAGATAGAATGAATACAATCTAGTATTTGATGCCACATCAGGGTGACTACAGTCAACAACTTCTTGTATGTTCTAAAATAACTAAAAGAGTATAATTGATTGTGTATAACACAAAGTAAAGATAAGTGCTTGAGGTGACAGATACCTTTTTCATCCTGATGTGATTATTTTGAAGTGCATGCCTGTATCAAAATATCCCAAGTAGCCCATAAATAAATACACCTAATATGAACCCACAATAATTAAAAATTTTTAAAAAAGAAAATCAATGAGACCAAAATCTGGTTCATTGATAAAATCAATAAAATGGATAAACTTCAGACTGAAGAGGAAGAACAGCGAGAAGACCCAAATTAGCAACATCTGGAATGAGAGGGATGATGTCGTTAGAGATAATAAGGGAACAAGATGAACTTCATGCTAACAAAGTTTCTCAGTGGGTGGGGAATGCTTTGCCCACAGGACTTGGTGGTGCTGAAGACTGCCTGGCACTCACCACTGGAAGGAAGTGCGGCTGCCTCCGGGCAGAGGCCAGCTTCTGTGGAACAGCCTCCACACCCAGGAAAGCCCACAACAGAGAACTCTCTGATCCCAAATCCTAACTGTGTGCCTGTTCATCCTAAAGGTGTACAGTTTCCCACAGAAAGCTCCACCCTCCCAAGGTAGAATCTAACAGCACAACCTGATCCAACAGCTGTGTGGCTGAACCACAGGCACGTGGGTCTCAGGCGTCCAGGGCATGTATGTATCCTGACAGCCGTACGGTAGCAGAGACCCTGCAGATGGTTCTGTGGGGTCATTTTGGGGACAGTGAGGGCAGAGGAAGAGCCCTCCTCTGGCAGGGTCTGCAGTGAGTTCTGGGGGATTTCTCAAGCCGGCTCCTGCAGGATGTGGTGCGTATCTTACTCGCACCTGGAGTCAACGCAGGGTGCTGCTTGTCCTGCAGCCAGAAGACATCGCTCCAAAGACCGCCACGGAGGTGGGGCGGGCCCTCTCAAAATCTCTGTCTCCTATCCCCTGATGCCCTGCGGCTTCCATGGCCCCTCAGGGAGTGAGATGCCAGGGGACAATGCGGGGTGCTCCAGTGAATTGCGGCTGGAGGCTGAGCTGCCTGTGCCACCAAACCAGTGGGCAGAAAGGAAGTGGGTGTGACCACATCCCTGGGGTGCAGGAGAGCTTCTTTTGCTGCTGATGAGGGCAGCATGTCTGGATCCTGGGTCCTCTGAATCGCTAGCACTACCACACTTACCAGACAAAGCTTGCAGAGGATGGCAGTGACCCCAGTGAACCCAAACAGGCGGAACCACCAGGAGGTCAGCAGTCATCTTCACCAGAGGGGAAGCTCCCGGAGCCAGGACTGGGGCCAGGACAAGGGGAACACAGGTGGGGGTGGGGACAGGAGTCACGAATACTGGGTCCTCAAACCATAAAAGCTGCCCGTAACACTGCTGTGTCATGCAGATATTTATATAGGAAAAGTAAGCCAACGCGCTCCCTCATTTCCTGCAGGGAACCCTGGCAGCATCTAAATCAAGAGGGGCTGTGCTGAACCACAGAAAGAAGAAGGAATGTGCCCGGGCATGGTGGGCTCACACCTGCAATCCCAGCACTGTGGGACGCCGAGACAAAGACATTGCTTGAGCCCAGGAGTGCAAGACCAGCCTGGGCAACATGGCAAAACCCCATCTCTACAAAAAAATACAAAAATTAGCCAGGCATGGTGGCAAGTACTTATAGGCCCAGCTACTCAGGAGGCTGAGATGGGAGGATCACCTGAGCCCAGGAGGTTGAGGCTGCAGTGAGCCATGATGGTACCACTGCATTCCAGCCTGAGTGACAGAGGGAGAAAAGAAGAAGAAAGAAAGAAGAAGGAAAAAGGAAGAGGAGGAAGAAGAAGAAAAAAAAAGAAGAAGAAACGTTGTCCCAGGATCCTTTCGGAGTTAGGGGAAGTGACAAATGTGATTGCAACTTCCCCTTTGGGATAAAGCTAAGTGGGGTTCCATCGTATAAGGGATAGCTGTGTGTCACGGGCGCTGCCACTGTCATCGCACAACAAGAGAACGAGAGGACAGCCCGGGTGGATGGACCCAGGCCGCAGACTCTTGACCTCCCCCGTCCTGGCTGCCCCGGGCTCCCGAATGGCCTCCCTGCACTTCTGACAGCTCCCCGTGCTGCGAATGACCACTTCCCAAAGTGCAAGACAAAACGACGACAAACATCAACAACAAAAACATTTCGATCAACATCTCTGGCAGCTGGAGGCAGGCGCCACAGCTATATCCTGACACCCACACATCCCTGCTGGGGTGCGTGTCCCAGGAAGGGGTCTGTGCAGAGCTCTTGGGGGTCTCCTGCTGAGCCCCGTGCTGCTGGAGCTGACGGAAGTCAAGGGTCTCTGGGATGCCTGATTTCTTTTTTAACAAGTTATCTTCTGCTTAAACACACCAGAGTGAGTCTTTTCTTTGCAATTAAGCACCCTAACTAATTCACAGTACAAATAAGCAATTGCCCCTTGCTAGTTACAGGGAGTTTCAATGGAGAGTTGACAAGCGTACTGTGAACTGTCTTTTCTGATCAGGGGGAAAGCAGATATCAATAATAATAATAATAATAATAATGAATTCAAGCTCGCCTTACAACTCCTCAGAAGCTGTACACAGAGCTCCCGAAATGCCAGAACAAGAGCTGCCTGTTCCTGAGGTGGCAACTTGGTCTGGCAGCCTGAAGTCAACACCATCTTCTGAGGCCACCAAGTGGGTAGAGAAAGTATCGGAACTCTGAGCCAGAACGTGTGAAGCTGCCACCAAGTGAGACGTAAAAGAAGGAAAGAAACAGAAGGAGATGACAGGCAGTGGCAGCAACATGCCCCCCCCTGAAATTTAGACCTTTCCATCAGTGCAAAGCACCTCTGGAATAAGAAATAAGAAATAATCCTCTCTTCCCTTTGACAAATCTCGTGAAATGCCGTCTCCGTGACTGTTTGCTTCACCCACTGGCACTGGGGCAGGTAAACTGACAAAACCCTCCTCTCCAATCTGCTCTTTGTGGGTCTGGGGACTGCAGGAGGTGGGCATGGCCCTCTGGACAGTCCCTGAAGCACCCAGCAGTGGTCACTGTGGCGTCCACAGCCCCGGGATGCTGTTGTCCGAAGGCTGTGTCCCATCTCACCACGCCCAGGCCTGTGGACATGCACTCCTGCTTCCCCACACACCACCAGCTTCCACAGGAAAGCTCTTTGAAAGCCACTGGAAAACAGTTCAGACTGCTATTTGAAAAGCTCCATTCTGGCAGTATTTGGGGACAGTTTGCAGTCACACGTACACTTGGTGAATGCACAGATTCATTCGGAGCACACGCAGTGACGTGGCCCTGCTCCTACTCTCTGTCAGGCCTCCCGAATTTCTCAACATTCTCTCACCACTGCCAATGATAACAGCAGAAACACTGTGCGCATGAGAAGTTTTTAAACACAGCTCTGTTTGAACAGAGAAACATCCAGCTGAAGCTGTGGACAGTGTCCGCAGCCTCTCCTGCTTCTGCCCCAGGAACACTCACCCCCGGCCTTACCATACCCGGCTGCCTGTTTCCTTCCAGGTAGCCTGAGCCTGGCCAGGCCCCCGTCACCCCTGTGCCCCTCCCCGGGTGGAGCACCCATCACAGCAGGAAGTAAGCAAATGCTGGGTAAGGACCGCAAGACGGACACACACAGGAAGCAAGAGCAAGATCACACTGTACCTGAGCAGTCCCCATTGTGGCTGGGCTGGGCGCAGGCAGAGGGTTCGCAGCCGCGAGGGAAGCCGCGCAGGGCTAGGGCCAAGCCTCGGATGGCGAGAAAGCCTAGGTGAGGAATGGATAGAGATGGGGAAAATGTGATAAAAAGGGTAAATAACCTCCCCTATGGGGAAAAAAATGGAATGTACATTAAAAAGTGAGACTAAGCAATAATTAATCAGCTGAAAAGAGCAATATGGCAAGAAGAAGTAGGCACAGAAACTGTATATAAAAATCACCACCAACTGTTTGTAGACCAGACCGTGGAATGGCACGCTGTGTGCGTGGATCCAGGATGTATGAACATGGAAACTACTATTTCCATTCTAAAGCAGGATTTGAAATGATAATAATGTACATTTAACCATTTTGAAATATTGAACCAAAGAGAAATAATAAAACCATACTTTAAATCAGCAATTATGATGATTCCTTATATAATTTGATGAAAAATAGCTATCTGTGAAATTAGTCCAGTTCTGCAAAGAACCAAACAGATTCCAAGAAACAAACAACCAGTACCAGAGAATATTAATAATTGATCATTTTCTTTCCAGGAGACAAAAATGCTATGTACCCAGATGAAATTCAGTGTAGCATGTTTTTAAAAAGAAGGTGCTAATATATGTATTTTTGATAAATTACAAAATTCCCAGCTCATTTTTTCCATGGCATACTAATGCATGAAATTATTATTCCCCGCCAGAAATGAATCGGAGGAAGTACGAACACTTGTGTTTTTTTAAGGAGACTTATTAGGTTGATAAAGTTACACTGGAAAGATATGCCAGTCTTTTCTTCTCACTGAGCTGGTGATCGCAAAACACTCTCCTACATACACTTTATATAGCCTTAAAAACTATGATCATGTTATATTGACTTTCCTGAAGGTCAGGGCTGCTGAACATTGCCTGCTATCTGCTGAAACTTTGTTGTCACCAGAATCTCTGACCAAACATCTGTTTGATGATTAGTTAGTTAACGCCATGTAAATACTTTCAAATGTAAAATTCTAATAAGGTAAGAAAATTAGCTGACTTTTATTGTAGCAAGCACATTTGGGAAATATTCATTATAAAATAATAAACAAACTGAAAATCAACCGTTGGTTTCCTGTAAGCAGTTAACGTACATTTTATGTGACTGTCAGTCTAAATTGCCTATTCATTTCCAGGCACTTACTGTTCAACTCTCCACCGTTCTAGAATTCACATTCTGCTCTTCAAGACTTATCCACTTCCTATTAATATATTAACATTTCTCCATATCGGTACAGACAGAACTACATCTTCCTGGCCTGAAACAATCACAATTATTTTAGCCCCACAAATCCCTTACTCTTGAGTATTTAGGTTATCTCCAATTTTCCCATTTCCTAAGAATTCTGCATACATTTTTTAATGCTTCTCATTATGTGAGTTTATGCAGATAGGTTTCTAGACAGAATTACTGAGTCAAAGGATATGCACATGAGCCCAAAATGCTACTAAAACATTGGTTTCCATTTACATTGCCACATATCAACAATCTTCTTGCTTTTGCCTCTGGTGGAAAAAAATAGTTTCTCACTGTTTTCCTAGAGTCTGGGGACCTTTTAATGTGATTATTGAGCAAACAAATTTCTGTGTAAACTGTTTCTTAGTTTTTTTCTTTTGGGGGATAAATTTTTCATTGCTTTCGAGGAACTCTTTACATATGCCGGATGCTTATCTATTCTACACATTGCAAATGTTTTTTCAGTTTGTCATTTGCCTATTAGCCCCATTAATGATATCTTTCAACAGTTTAGAAGGGTTTCATATGCATGTGTCCAAATCTATCAGTTCCTTCCTTCACTGTTTCTGTGATTTAAAAGATCTTCCCAATTCCACAATTTAAAAAACATATTGTACTAAATTTTCTGTTAGACTTTCAGTAACTATCTTTAATGATTACATATTTAACATGTTTAAAACTTTGTTGTGTTGTGAGATGGAAATGAATTTTTTCTCCAATGGATAACCAGTTATCCCAACAAATTTACTGAAGAATCCATATTTTCCTGACTAACTTGAAAATGTTACCCACATAAAACAGTTTGTTCTACAGATTGATTTATCTCCTACAGCACTAGTGTGTTTCTCTTAGTAGACAAGAACTCTCATGGTTCATTTTTTTCTCTAACACATCTTATTGAACAATCTTGTGAATTTGTTCTTATAGGTTAACTTCATTACCACGTAATCCACTCCCCTATTCCCACTTTCATGACCAATCCAAACAGGAAAGGGTTCGCATGGAAATGATATAATCCACAGTCACCACTTCCATGAAGTGCCACATTTCCATGCCGAGTCAGCCACACAAGCACCACTCCACACCAAGTACTTGATGATGTTTTACGTACCTCCCAGGTGTTTCATTGTTTTTCCTATAAATCTTACACATTCCTGTTTCATTCCAATATATTTTGTGAGGCTTATTCTTTCTGAGGATGCGCCTACTTTTCCACTACTCTGTCATGCACAGTACAGTTAATAATGTTCATTCATTGATCTCATATTTGTTCTCCATGCCCAACGTTACTAATTATCTTATGGATTTTGTATAGTCTTTATCATTTTCCAATGAAAATAAGTCTCTTGATTCCCAATATCTTTTCTCATATATTTTCCCAAGATAGTAGAGACTTCAGAAGAAATGGAATAATAGTAATGACTGTGGCATTGCCGCTTTGCTCCATACTTTAGCATTTTCCCACTTACTCCTGCACCTGTTGAGTTTCTGATCATATCTTGACCTGTTTCACGGAAGTTTCCTGCCATTTCTCTTTCACTTAGAATTTCTATCACAGACGGCTGCTATGTTG
This sequence comes from Homo sapiens, assembly GCF_000001405.40. Taxonomy (NCBI): domain Eukaryota; kingdom Metazoa; phylum Chordata; class Mammalia; order Primates; family Hominidae; genus Homo; species Homo sapiens. The sequence continues at coordinate 103,294 of NT_187572.1, read as the reverse complement.
CTTAAAGGTCCTACGATATCTATTGATATAGTCATGAGGGGTTTTTTAAATATCCTTATCTTATGCATTACTACATAGGGATACTATTATTAAAATAACATTGCACTTATGAGGCAAAGCTTACGCTCATACTTAACATCGAACTAGATTCAACTGGCTAACATTTTGGGTAGCAAATTTATATATTCTTAAATAAGGTCAGCCCTTTTCTGTGATACTTATCAAATTCTGGATTCAGTCATTAAATGAGACTGATGCTTATTAGTCTGAGATAACATAAAATGATCATTTCCTAAAAGGTTTTAAAGAGTTTACCTATAAAATATCTGAGCCAGTTCCTCTTGTAAAAAGACATCTATGAAAATTTTTAGTTTTTCCATGGTTACTGCTCCATTAAATTTTTCTAAGTTTTGTTGAATCAATTTATATCATTTATAGTCACCAAGAAAACAAATCATTTATCTTGATTTTCAAATTTCTCAGCAAAAATTTCTACAGATCATCTTCTATTTCTTCTAACTTTATGATTCTATAACATTTTTCACTAACTGTATACTCTTGAATTTTCTCTTTATTTTCTTTATAAATCTTGCCACAAGTTTCCTATTCTCAGCACAGTTTGCACATGTTCTTTTAAACAGCAGAGAGGATTAAGATGACAGATAGGAGGCAGGACTAACTTGCAGCTCCCACTCGGATGTACAGAGCAGCATGTAGAGACTCACGTCATTAACTTTTGCCCCAAGAACTACGGCAGGAACATACTAGGAAAGCCAAGAGAATCCACAGACCCTTGGAAGGAACTAGATCAGTGCTGCAGGCTCCCTGAAATGCAGAAAAACCGTGAGTCTGTGCTTTCTCAATGGGGAGGTTCGTGGTTCAGGGAAAGTTCCAGGGAAAATTCTCAGGGGGTTACTGGCTGCCTGGAAATAGACTCGGTACTGTTGGTGGGGCACGGTGGGAGTTAGACCAACCTTTAGGACAGCGGGCTGCGTGGGAGTGGGGTGAGGTCTGTCACTGACAGCTTTCCCCCACTTCCCTAGCGACCTGTGTGACTCAGCAGAGGCAGCCATAATCCCCCTGGGAATATAACTTCATTGGCCTGGAAACCACATGTCCATCCCCCACAGCAGCTGCAGCCAGCCCCACCCAAGGAGAGTCTGAGCTCAGACATGCCTGTCCCTGCCCCTCACCTGGTGGTCTTTCTCTACCCACCCTGGTACCTGAAACAGAGGTCATAATATCTTGGGAGCTCTATGGCCCTGCCCACTGCCCGAGAAACCTGAATATTTAACCAGGTACACCCTAGGGCAAGTTTGCTTCCTCCCTATGGGACCACAGCTGATGCACTCTTGAAAGCACCACCTCCTGGCTGGAGGCCAACCATCACACTAAACAAAAACACAACCAAGGACCCTCACAGAGTCCATTTCATTCCCCTGCCCCCTCCGCCGGAGCAGGTGCTGGTATCCACATCTGCAAGACTTTAAGACAAAAATCACATCACAGGACTCTGCAGACACTCCCAGCACCAGCTCAGAGCCTAGTAGCTCCACCGGGTGGCTGGACCCAGAAGAGCAAAAACAATCACTACAGTTTGGTTCTCAGGAAGCCACATACCTAAGGGAAGGGGGAGAACACCACATCAAGGTAGCACCCCGTGGGAGAAAAGAGTCTGAACAGCAGCGCTTGAATCCCAGATCTTCCCTCTGATGTAGTCTACCCAAATGAGAAGGAACCAGAAAAACAATTCTGGTAACAGGATAAAACAAGGTTATTTACCACCCCCAAAAGATCATATTACCTCACCAGCAATGGATCCAAACCAAGAAGAAATCTCTGAATTGCCAGAAAAATAATTCAGGTCAATTATTAAGCTAATCAAGGACGCAGCAGAGAAAGGTGAAGTCCAACTTAAGGAAATGAAGAAACATAATACAGTATATGAAAGAAACCTTCTTCAGTGAAATAGATAGCATAAATAAAAAACAATGATGACTTCTGGAAATCAAGTTCAAACTTAGAGAAATGCAAAATGCACTGGAAAGTCTCAGCAATAGAATAGAACAAACTGAAGAAAGAACTTGAGAGCTTAAGACAAGGCTTTCAAATTAACCCAGCCCATCAAAGACAAAGAAAAGATAACTTTCTTTTTTTTTTTTTTTTTTGAGACGGAGTCTCGCTGTGTCGCCCAGGCTGGAGTGCAGCGGCACGATCTTGGCTCACTGAAAGCCCCGCCTCCCAGGTTCACACCTTTCTCCGGCCTCAGCCTCCTGAGGAGCTGGGACTACAGGCGCCCACCACCGCGCCAGGCTAATTTTGTTGTATTTTTAGTAGAGACAGGGTTTCACCGTGTTAGTCAGGATAGTCTCGATCTCCTGACCTTGTGATCCACTCAATATGAACAAAGCCTCTAAGAAGTTTGGGACTGTGTTAAATGTCCAAACCTAAGAATAATTGTTTCCAGAGAAGAAGAGAAATCTAACCATTTGGAAAACATATTTGAGGGAACAATCAAAGAAAACTTCCTGTTTTTACTAGAGATCTAGACACCCAAATACAAGAATCTCAAAGAACACCCAGGAAATTCATCACAAAAAGATCATCACCTTAGACACATAGTCATCAGGTTATCCAAAGTCAAGACAAAGGAAACAATTTTAAGAGCTGGAGGCAAAAGCATCAGCTAACCTATAAAGGAAAACCTATCAGATTAACAGATTTCTCAGCAGGAACCCTAAAAGCTAGAAGGCACTGGGGTACTATTTTTAGCCTCCTTAAACAAAACAATTACCAGCCAAGAATTTTGCATCCAGTGATACTAAGCTTCGTAAATGAAGGAAAGATACACTCTTTTCCAGATAAACAAATGCTGAGAGAATTCCCCACTACCAAGCCAGCACTATAAGAACTGCTACAAGGAGCTCTAAATCTTGAAACAAATCCTTGAGATACACCAAAGTAGAATTCCTTAAAGCATAAATCTCACAGGACCTATTACATATAACAACAATGCAATGAAAAAAAAAAAACCCAAGGTATTCAGGAAACAAATAGCATGATGAATGGAATAGTATCTCACATCTCAATACTAACATTGAATGTAAATGTACTAAATGTTCCACTTAAAAGATACAGAATGGTAGAATGAATAAGAATTCACCAACCAAGTTTCTGCTGTCTTCAAGAGACTAACCTAACATATAAGGACTCACATAAACTTAAAATAAAGGGGTGGAAGAAATATTCCATGCAAATGGACATCAAAAGCAAGCAGGAGTAACTACTCTTATATCAGATAAAACAAACTCTACAGCAACAGCATTTTAAAAAGACAAAGATGGGCATTATACACTGATAAAAGGACTAGTCCAACAGGAAAATATCACAATTCTAAATATATATGTAACTAACACTGAAGCTCCCAAATTTATAAAACAATTACTACATCTAAGAAATGAGATAAAATGAGATGAATGAGAACACATGCTCCAAAGTATTCTTCTTTTGTATCCTCTTGTCCTCCTTTCAGTATGGCCTCTGTTAACTTGCCAAGTCTGAAAATGTCTTTATTTGCCCTCAATATCAAATGATAGGCACATTAGGGATAGAATTCAAGACATTCAATAAATATCTTCTTCTAGTATTATTGTTAAGGCATTATTTACCAATCTATAACCAATTTATATTTTCTTTACCAAGTTGTTTAGGATTTTGCTGTTATCCTGGACACAGTGAAATTTTACAGAGATACATCAGAATATTGAATTTATCTTTATTTCCGCTTAGCAGGTGATACAACGTATCCATCTGAAAGGATTTTCCCTCAATTTGGGGAAATTATCTGCCATTTTAATCTCAAATACTGATTGACCACTGTGATGGTCTGAAAAGGTCTCCAAAATTCACATGCTGAAACTTAAGTCATGAGGGCAAAGCCTCCACAGATGGGCTAAGGCCCTCCTAAAAAGGCTTGAGGGAACAGGGTGTTCTGCTCCTCCGCCAAGTGAGGACACAGTGCTCCTCCCTTCAGAGGACACAGACACAGGGCACTACCCTGCAAGCAGACAGCAGCCCTCACCAGACCCCAAGCCTCCTGTACTTTGACTTTGGACTCGTGGCCTCCAGAACTGTGAGAAATAAACTCCTGCTGTTTATAAAGAAACCAGTCTCAAGCATTTGGTTGTAGCAGCACACATGCACTGCGACACCCCCCTTTCTATTACCTCCTTCTTTAGCTTCTAATGATCTACTTTTTTGCTTTTCAGATATATCCGCTCCGTTAACTGTGCTTTCTCATGTTCTTTTTATGCTTAACACTAGGAAATTTCTTTAGCTTAATCTTCTATTTCATTAATGTTTTCTTCAGATATATCTGATCTATAAATATCTACCAAGTTTTCATTTCAAGGGCTATAATGTTGATAGTATTTCTTTTTTTTTTTTTTTTTTTTTTTTGAGACGGAGTCTTGCTCTGTTGCCAGGCTGGAGTGGTGTAACATGATCTCAGCTCACTGCAGCTCCACCTCCTAGGTTCACACCATCCTCCCGCCTCAGCCTCCCGAGTAGCTGGGACTATAGGCACCTGCCACCACGCCCAGCTAATTTTTTTTTTTTGTATTTTTAGTAGAGACGGGGTTTCACCATGTTAGCCAGGGTGGTCTCAATCTCCTGACCTCGTGATCCACCTGCCTCAGCCTCCCAACGTTCATAGTATTTCTAATTGGTCATTTTACAAAACTACCTATTCTTGTTTTACAGGTGTTCCACATAGCATATTGGTTTATGGGATCCGAATCAGGGTCTGAATCCAGGATCCAGCCCTTACTAGTAATACATCCTCAGGACATAGTTACATAAAGTCTCCATGCCTGTTTCCTAATGGGCACATGAAAATAATAAGACTTACTTCATATGCTATTTGTAAGGATTCAATGAATTACTCAGGTAAAATCCTCAGAACATGAATAGAAATGTTCTAAGAGCTAAACTAGTGTTGCAAACATGGCATCTGGAGCCAAGTGTGTCCATTTGATCTTATGCACTACACAACCTGGGGCCAGTCGCTTAACTCAGTTACGAAAACTGAGGTGTTATAATGTCTATTCTACTTTTCACTGCCTCTATTGATTTTGATGGGAAAATAAACTAAATTGTGATTCTAAAATTCTTCCTTTTTTATGGCAACCTGCTCTTATTTTACAGAAGAAATCTGAAACCTTCCTTCAAAGACACATTAGATCTTTTTCTGAGTTCTTTTCCAGTCCCTCCTTTAAGCTTATTTTAATAGGAGGTCACCATTAAAATTAAAATTCAGTATGTTTTCTCCTTTAAGGGGATGATTCCCTTTAGATGTCCTGTACTTTTTATCATCTATTCATCCTCATCACTACACGCTGAGTGCAGACAGGAGTCCTGCTTCTGGGGCCCCAGAACATTCGGCAGAAGAACATTGAGAGGCAGGTAGCTGTTGCATAGGATAACAGGCATCTCACTGTTTATCTGCTGGAGAAATGTGCAGCCTCAGTCAGTGGAGGGAGAAAGAACCCCAGATTCTTTGGTTCTACTCGGAATGCAGAGCTGGGGAAAGAGGGAAGTGCCCCCACTTTTGTGCTAGAGACAAAAAGTTCAGCAGAGCAGGCCCCTGGAGGAGGGTTCAGCCAGCAGCATCAGCGAGTGTCTAGGCCCTCACCTCCTTTAAAACACACTGTATAATTTCCATATCAGTTTACCTTCCTGTTTATTCCTCAGTTTTGAAAATAAAAGAATAGGTTTGAAGAAATCTAAGACACGCACACCTCAAGGGTGCCTGGAAGAGCAGAGTTCATGTTTCTATTTCACATGAGGCATCTTTTTCTAATAAAAAGAAACAAGATGACATTATAGAATCTACCTTCTAAATCACAACATAATATTTTCTGTAATACAAAATACAAGTGTTTATATGAATATAAACACTTTATCAAATATCACCCACCTAATTTATATCCATAAATACTGTAACTAACAATCCCAAAATGTCTCAGCATTTTGGTTTTTTTTTCGTTTTGAAAAGGAAATATAAACCACTAGGATATCCACGAGATAACAGAAACTGTAGATCACAATAGGTTTTTTGTCTTGACCATATAATAAGGTAAGAAAATATAGCAATTTTATGTTGCATTTTGTTGGTTGAAAGATATTACTGATTGAAAATAACATATAATTTAGAAAGTCTTCTATTATAGCTAAGAAGCAGCTATAGCAAAGCATACCGGGGTATTATGAAAAATTACATGTGTTCTATTATCACGTTTTGTCACTTACACGACACACAGCCATCAACCACTCCTCATTTGAGAACCAGAGATTCTCTACCAAAGGTTTTAAACTCATAAATGTATTCAAAAGCACTATTAATCTAATCAATACCTAAATACTTAAATAGGAATTTTACTATGGGTGCATTAGGATAACCACTATTGTGCCTGGAATTCAGCTGCTCCCATGCTCCAAAGCTGAATGTTGTAATTTTGATCTCATTTCTCAACCCCATTTAAACACTTAGCTCCTGTATGCCGTATGATTGCTAATCTGTTATCCCCGTCCTTATCAAAGCTTTGATTAAATCTCAGCACACCAAATGCAAGGATCTGTAGCTAATAATTTCATCTATTTGATTAGTTTATAATATATTACTCTATAATTACAGATTTAATTGAAATGTCACAGGCATCTCATTATCAGCAAAAGAAATCATTCTCAAAACTACCTTCTCTAATGACACTGCCTTTGCCACAAAATGCCACACCTGATTTCTCCCACGCTCAACGCAGCCACCCTTTCTTCAATTTTACATTCCTCTTGGGAAGAACTCCTGAGTCGATGCTGAGAGTCTGGCGGGGCCGGCAGAAGGGAGAAGCCGTACACAAGAGGCTGGGAGGCAGGGACTTCCCGCAGACACCATCGCTAACTCCATTTCCCTCACCATCCCCCATGGGCAGTCAGGACACACCCCAGGACAACCGTGCCCACTGCCATAGGGACAAGGTCACGCAGAAGGTCATGGGGCCTTCACCTCCAGACGGCCTTCGAACCCTCGCTGCAGTACCAACTCCTCCCTGGGTCTCCTGCCTGCTGGCCCACCCTGCAGATTTCAGACTCACCAGCCCCTGCAATTGTGCAAGCCACTTCCTCGCATTAAATCTCTCTCTCCTTCCCTCCCTCTTGCAGAGATGGAGGAGCACACACATCCTACTGATCCCGTTTCTCTGGAGAACCTCGACCAGTACAGGCTTTGGCAGAAGTCCGGAAGCCTCACCACCCCATGTCCTTCCAGAATTCCGGCCAGTGCCAATCATGTCGTGTTTGACGGAGAGTCAAGGAAAAGCCAATTCACGCTTGCCTAACAGTAAAGGCAACTTACTGGCTCCCTGGAAGGCAAAGTGCAGAGCCTCAGAGTCAGTTTGGTCCCATGGCTCAGCGAAGCCGTGGTTTATTTTCTTCCCCTTATATCCTTTGATGGGAGCTTCATCTGAAAGCTGGTGGCCTCTCACCACGGCAGGAGCCCTGGCAGGGCCCCCAGATAGTTCCTGCTCATTCCAAGGATGATGGGAGCTTCATCCGAAAGCTGGTGGCCTCTCACCACGGCAGGAGCCCTGGCAGGGCCCCCCAGATAGTTCCTGCTCATTCCAAGGTTGATGGGAGCTTCATCCGAAAGCTGGTGGCCTCTCACCATGGCAGGAGCCCTGGCAGGGCCCCCAGATAGTTCCTGCTCATTCCAAGGATGATGGGAGCTTCATCCGAAAGCTGGTGGCCTCTCACCACGGCAGGAGCCCTGGCTGAGCCCCCAGATAGTTCCTGCTCATTCCAAGGTTGATGGGAGCTTCATCCGAAAGCTGGTGGCCTCTCACCACGGCAGGAGCCCTGGCTGGGCCCCCAGATAGTTCCTGCTCATTCCAAGGTTGATGGGAGCTTCATCCGAAAGCTGGTGGCCTCTCACCACGGCAGGAGCCCTGGCAGGGCCCCCAGATAGTTCCTGCTCATTCCCAGGAAGGGGAGCAATCCACACTCCTAGAAGCTGTCTCCAAGAAGGGAGGAAACCTCTTTCCCAGAAGCCCCTTCTCCGGTTTCACAGACTTGAATCAGGTTACTTGCTCGCGCCCACAGGCGGGATAATGGAGTGAGCTTCACCAGCACACCCAGGCTGCACCAGGCAGGTCGGGGAGGCACCGTGCACAAACAAACAGAAATCAGGGTCACGACCAAGAAAGTGAAGAGGAAAGTCCGGGAGATGACAGCGATGCCTTCTACACGGTGGCCATCCAAGCTCACAGCCTCAAGTTCACCCCGCCGTACGCTCTTCCTTTTCCAACAGGCATTATACCCGAACATCCAACCACAGCCACCTCTAGATGTCAACATTGACAAAGGATCTCCTAATCAAGTTTGCAATTCCGTGTAAACACATGTCCCTAAGGAACATAACTGCATTACTGAACTAGAAGTGTGTCAGACAGAAATTGAGCTCTGGCATGTGTTGGCATAGTGGGAAAACAGCCACAGGATAAGATGAAGGAACTGATTCATAAATCACCGCCAGCTATTTTTCTTCCTCCTCTGTTCTCAGTTTAAAAACCCACTGATAAACAAATTGGACAAGAAAACTCAATTACACCTTTTTATAGTTGATTATTATGTTAAAAATGGCAACAGAATTTAGTAAACAATGGTTAAAAAAATTGCAGCACAGCATGTCTCATAAATAAGGATTACAGAAAAATAATTTACTGTGTAATGAAGTTTCATTTATAGAATGTACTTCGAAAACAATAGGTGGCAAACAGCTTTGTGTGAAATCCAATTATCAGCATATTAGGCACTTACAACTTCATATCTGCTATTGTTTTAAAATCACTGTATTGCCACAAGCATAAAATGTGTAATGGTGTGTACCAGATAAACTACCCTATATTTTCCTTAATATTTTAATTAATGACTAAAACAATATGAAGCAGCATTTCAGTACAAAATGTATTTTGAGCAATATTAAATTGTCAAGTATTGCAAGAATCAGTAAAATTGGAGGAATTAAAAGACGGAGGAAAGCTGCAAAGATTAGAAGTGGGGAGAGTAAACAGCATGAGATTCACTGTGGAAAGTCCACATGTTCCAGAGAGAGGAGGGTGAGGAGGAGATGGCACTTGAAGACCTACAAGTCATGAACAGTAGTTAGAAAGGGATGGACACAGAGCAAGCTCACACCCCCAGTCGTGCTGATGGGCTGAGCCCTGCTGAGAGGAGGAGTTAGAGCAGATTGTCAGGTGCAGAGTTAGTCCCAGAGCTGAGGGCCTTGACCGCAGTCCAGGCTTTCTCCAAGACATCGCCAACCAAAGAGAAATTAGCACCAGAGCACACCATGCTTCTGGGCGAGTCAGAGCCAGACGGACGACAGACTGGTACTTCCCATGACAAATCCTAGAGAATGAACAGTGAGGGACAAAGAAACAGAGAAAACTCATCACCTTAGGACACCGGGAGAATGGCAGCACTTCCCTTTCCTCTGGTCACGCTCTCTCTCCAAGGCCAGGGGAGGGGGAATCTTCAGCCAAACACTCATCTCAAAGGAGGTGAGCTCACATGAAAACAACACATCCGTTCTTCACCAATTTCAGTCAGGTTGACTCGTATTGGTAGACAGATTCTAATTGTGCAAAAAGAAGCCATTTCATCTGTAATTTTATGGCTTTTCCCAATGCCACACCATCAAGTAACCACTTCAAACTAGACAGACTCATGCTGTGTAAATGGGAAGCTGAAAGTGCCTAAGATATCAGGCTGCATGAAATTAGCCACAAAAAAAAAAAAAACCTGCCAGAGACAGAGTACTTACCCTAAGCACGTTACTGATGACGTATTTTCTTAGCAGTCAAAACTCAGACCAAAATAAATGGTGTAGGTAAAAGTCAAAAGATTACTGGGCAAAGTTTCAAATAGTGAGAAAGAACCCTAAATGAAAATAATTGTTTATGAACTAATTTGGACATTAAACAACAGTAAATCATCGAAGTGTGCCCACGTGCTAATACAGAGAGTATAAATAAAATATGAAGAAGTAATCATTGGCCGGGCGCAGTGGCTCACATCTATAATTCCAGCACTTTGGGAGGCCAAGGCAGGCAGATCACTTGAGGCCAGGAATTCGAAACCAGCCTGGCCAACATGGTGAAATCCTGTCTACTAAAAATAAAAAAATTAGCCAGGCGTGGTGGTGCACACCTGTAATCTCAGCTACTTGGGAGGCTGAGGCAACAGAATCTCTTGAACTCAGGAGGTGGAGGTTGCAGTGAGCCAAGATCATACTACTGCACTTCAGCCTGGGGGACAGAGCGAAACTCCATCTCAGAAAAAAAAAAAAAAAAAGGCAGCAACAGCAATTATCATCCAATGTGAAAGGTACTAAGTACCTAAGGGTCACATATAAGGGTTATTACTGGCTAAACAAGTATTTCACAAGTATTTCTCTCAAAGAGAAAGTGTTAGCACACTGCTTAAAAACCTAGGGTGGGTGCCTCCCACAAGCGTGAGGTGGGTTGGCTGGCAGGCTGCCCTGAGATGGCCCACACTCCTGTGCCACAAAGCAGCACTGCCCCTCAGCACTACCGTCCACCCTGGGTGGGCAGGAGCTCGGACAGCGGCCGCCCTCCTCACACAGGCTCCGCCCTGGGTGCCCAAACACATCCCCACATTCCAGCCTCACTAGTGGCACCAACCCCACCCTTCAGTTTCTGTGGTTCCATTCAGATGAGGAAGGAATCCCACTGCTGGTCCTCCCTGTTCCCAGAACGCCCTTTTGGGGTGGAATGTCCTTCCAGGGGCTACTCCCTCTCCTAGGACTGAATGTGACCTTCCTGGATCTCAGCAGACCCAGGAACAGACTCTGATCATCAAAGGAAATAAGGGCCCCACACCACGAACTTCAGGCATCTTTCTAAGTGAAATGCACCATCACTCTCCTGGCGTGGTGCACAGGCCCCCTGGAGATGGAGCTGCACCAAACACCGCTACATGCACATGTAAGTCATCGTCAACACGTATCACTGAGGCAGAGGTCAAATGTGCCAAACCTGTGTGATGCTGAAATCAGAGGCCTCGTGTCACACCATGACACAGAAAGCCGAAGACCCACGTGCCGACGACCCTGTGAGGCAGGTGTCACATCCGCCATATGACAGGTAAGGCTGACACAGATGAGCGTAAAAGTATCCAAATCAACCAGAAGCAAAGCCGGGACTTCACCATAGATCTTCTGCCTTGGACCTGCACGTAGCAATTGCTTAGTAGCATGACTTGCTTAGAAAGTGGCCTCACTGCTACCACATCTTATCACAAGACCCGGTTCTTAGCTCCCCGCCAACCTTCTCCCCTTTATGTTCCTCCGGCTGCTGTGATTTACTCCTCCCCATCCTCCCTTCCTTATTCCTGTGCACCAGCACCCCCGTCATTTTGAAAGTAGCTTTAAGTTCAAAGGGAAAATGGGTAGCAGTAAAAAGAGACAGCTAAGTAGCTAAGAAATTGCCTTTTAGTTATGGAAAAACACACAGGGACACATAAGTGTTGCATCTACAACCTCATTCCTTGGGTTTCTATCAAGAATAAAATGAAGAAAAAGAGGAGAGAGAACATATGAATGAGAAGAAAAAGAGGAGAGAGAACGTATGAATGAGAAGAAAAAGAGGAGAGAGAACATATGAATGAGAAGAAAAAGAGGAGAGAGAACGTATGAATGAGAAGAAAAAGAAGAGAGAGAACGTATGAATGAGAAGAAAAAGAGGAGAGAGAACGTATGAATGAGAAGAAAAAGAGGAGAGAGAACGTATGAATGAGAAGAAAAAGAGGAGAGAGAACGTATGAATGAGAAGAAAAAGAGAGAGAACGTATGAATGAGAAGAAAAAGAGGAGAGAGAACGTATGAATGAGAAGAAAAAGAGGAGAGAGAACGTATGAATGAGAAGAAAAAGAGGAGAGAGAACGTATGAATGAGAAGAAAAAGAGGAGAGAGAACGTATGAATGAGAAGAAAAAGAGGAGAGAGAACGTATGAATGAGAAGAAAAAGAGGAGAGAGAACTTATGAATGAGAACGAGTACCTTTGCATCACACCAGAGAAGAACTCGGAGTTTAGGATGAGAAGATGAAATGTCGTGCCACCAGCCCACTGGGAAAAATCCACACAGAGCAAGTTAAAACCCTAAATACAGAAGTGCGTGGCAGAATCTGACCTCTGCAGCAGTGGCTGAAAGTCTTTCAGTCAAGAATTATTTGAGGTTTTCTGTCCCAGGTAGGAGATTCAGGGTGAAAGCACGTGCTTGTGTTATTAGATGCCCAGTTCCAGGGGAAAACCACACTGTCCACGACCCCAGCCACACAGTGCGGTTATCAAGGATCTCATCTTTCCTTCCAGCCTTGCTCTTAGGGGTCCCAGTCATTTGTATCGGTAATAATTTAATGCTTCTTCTTTTATATACTGTTCTCTAACTTATATAACCTCTTTAATAAGAAGAGCGACATCATATTTCAAATTGTAATTGAGTAGGAGAGTCTGCTGTGTCACTCAACAATGGTTATGCGAAGCAAATGGTGTTTAATCCATCACGACTTCTCTGAAATGCACTGAAAAGTTCCCATGAGAAAGGAAATGGAGCGCTGGCCCCGAAGGGGTCAGCAGGGACCCCAGGAGCAGCCGAGCAAGGAAGCCTGTTCCGGGTACACCTGTTCGGGGGGCACCTGCTTCCAGGGCACCTATCGACTCTCTCTGCAGAGCACCTGTCCCTCTTGTGCTACCTTGCCTCAGTCTCCCTTTGGGGAGCCCTACCTCTCCATACTTCCCAGGATTTGCCAATTCTCCAGGTGCGCATTGGATCCCCTGGCCGCGGTGACCAGTCCAGAGACGCGCACGCCACTCACAGATCCAGAAACGACTGGCGGCACGGCTGCTGCAGAGTGACGGGCAGTGAATCCTGGCTGCCTGGGCCGCCCTCCAGAGAGAAGAGCTGTAACACCTTGAGACCCAGCGCCATGACAACTGTGAGGCCTCAGATCCTGCTTCCAATTACATGATCCTGTAAAGTCTCTACTTTTGTCAACCAGAATGAGCTGAGTATCTGTCACTTGCAACCAAGTCAATCCGATTAGTCAAGTCAGCTGCAATTCTACACAGGTAAATTGCTGCCTGGCATCTTCTTTGAGTCTTAAGCTGATAACTGACACCCAATTTTCCATGTGGTTTCCAAACAATCTTGGCAAAAACTCTATGTAAAAGGAATTGGCAAAATGCATCATTCTATCTTTTTCTTCCTCAAAACGGAAGGGCTAGATGGGAAACCCAGCAGGAACTCACAGACCAAGCTGAAATTCAGAATGTGGTTTCCCCTAGAAATATGCTTGTAGGTGCTGGCTATGTTCCCAGCCTGGACCACATCCAAACAAGTTGTGTACGGGACATTAGAAACTACCGTTTAAAAATCACAGCGCAGGCTGCGTGCGGTGGCTCACGCATGTAATCCCTGCGCTTTGGGAGGCCGAGGCCAAGGCCGGCGGACTGCTTGGGCTCAGGAGTAGTCCCAGCTACTCAGGAGGCTGAGAAGGGATGATTGCTTCAGCCTGGGAGGCGGAGTGAGCCCAGATCGTGCCACTGCCCTACAGCCTGGGTGACAGAAAGAGACCGTGTCCCAAAAAAGAAAAAAAAATTATAGGATGGATACTTTTATAACATTAGAAACTACAGGTGGTCTGGGAGTTCAAAACAACTGACACAAGGGCATTGTGAAATGCAACCCGATTGCGAGCTGGGAGCCATCTGAGTTTGGGTGTGGGCTTTATTTTCAGGGAAGATCTTTAGATAAGTGAAGAGTCTAGCGGGACATAAAAACGTAGTGGCCCCAAAGATGAGGAAGCACCATAGGAAGAAAGCCCCAGCCCCAAAGAAACTCCCTGAGCACACTGAGCAACTGTGCTGGCGATCACAAGGGCTTCCCTAGACTAAGAAACCATCCAGAAGAAATGAAATAATTTAGGAAGGATATATGGTCATGGAGTTGGGAACAGGAAGAAGTAGTCCTTATCCTAATCACCACTGACAGAGCTTCATGAAAACCCTTCATTATTCTGGGCATTATAAATGAGAAAAGAAAAACTCTACCCAAACAATAATAGTTTGCTTAGGGGGCAAATCATTCCCATTACGAATCAGTCAGGTAAGTGTCTAGAGCTTTTAGAAAAAGGCAGAGGCCAGGAGCAGTAGCTCACGCCTATAATCCCAACAATTTGGGAGGGCAAGGCAGGCCAATCACTTGAGCCTGGGAATCCAAGACCAGCCTGGACAACATAGGGAGACCTCGTCTCTACAAAAAAACAAACAAAAAAAATTAGCCAGGTGTGGTGGTGCACACCTGCAGTCCCAGCTACTCAGTGGTTGAGGTGGGAGGATCACTTAAGCCCAGGAGGCCGAGGCTGCAGTGAGCCATGATTGCACCACTGCACTCGAGCCTGGGTGACAAAGTGAGACTCTGTCCAAAAAAAAGAAATAAAATGAAAAAGAAGTGATATTAACTTGTACAGGACAACCAGTGCCCTTGCTGGAAGACTTAAGCTGGATCAAAATGAAAAGATTATTTAAAAGTTTCAAATATCTTGGGGGAAAAGAGAGAACATAATGAGCTTTTTTCTTATGCTAGAACTTTTCTGGTAAAGTACAGGCAGCTTAGCCAGTGTTCATTTCTTAGAATAAGCACAAATTGTGAATTAGAGAACACAGAGCAAACCATAGCATGTCAGCCCTGCATCTCGTCACCTGATAACACACGGAAACAGCAACAAGGCCGGAGAATCGGTCACCCAAGATCTCCTCGAAACAGAAGTACGTATCTGGTGCAGTAGCGGTTTCCACCACTGCCACACAGGCAGGAGGGCCGGGATATGTGTGGACCCCAAACACAGAGACCATCGCTGCCTGCCTCTCTTTGAACTTACATAAGAGTCTCAGCACTGGATCCATAACATCTAAGAAGACACAGACGAAAACAGTCTCCTTAAAAACCCCAGAATCATTGGACTAAAATAGACTTCAAGGAAAAATCTAGAATAGCTCTGACTCCAGGGAGCATAATAATCTATTATTAAACAAATATATGATTCTCCCTCTGGTTTTTAAAGATCTCCACAATGAGAATCCTACAGGGCCATGCATGGGATATCCTAGTGCTTAATCACCTACAACAGAGAGGCCTTTTCCTATTCTGAACCAACACCACTCTTGCCACCATATAAATCTACAATCCACACCCCCCGCCAACCCAGCAAGAAGGCAGCAGCTTAAAATTCACATTGGAGCTACAGTTAAATGTATTTCACGGATACATCTTTCTATCCATAATCTGACTCCAAATTTCTTTTGAAAGCCCTAAGTGCATGAATTATAGTTCCTTCCTGGTGCTAGCAAAATGTTAATGTCTAATCAATAGTGCAGTGCAAACATAATGTGCTCATTCATTATGCTCATGATTTTAGCATAAGTATCACAAAATGGGAATATAAAATTCAAAGTACAGCACGTTTCTCTGGCTAAAATAGTAAAACATCCCTTTGACCCAACCACTCCTACTAACCATGGAAGGCCAGTGGATTGAGGCAGCCCTGCTTCTAACTGTATCTTGTGATTCGAGTTTTATAAAAGAATGAACCCACAACTAACTTAAAAGCAGAATGCCGGGCGTGTAGATGTGTGATGCTTCTCGGTGGGCATCTCACTGGTAACGTCAGAGGCAGCTCCTACTGGGAGCCATCTCCAAGCTTTCCTGGGCTCCCATTTCCCCATGGACAGGAGCAGCTAGAGTAGAGGTGGCCTCAAGGATCCCTTTCCCTTTCAATCAATAAACAGTGGAAAAAAGACAATACATGCAGAGGTAGATGTTATTTGTAGAGGGTTTACAGCCTATATAGCAAGGAATAAACCACAAGCAAAAGTAAGTATAATATAAGGAATATACTATAATTCTAGGAAGAGAGGCAGAGATAAAATGGGGCGTGAGCTCCAGGCTGGGGGAAGCAATTCCACACTGGAGAAACATGGAGAGGTTTGTGGGGAGGAAGCGGCACTCAAGCTGACCCTGACGGGGCCTGGGGATGAACCCAGGCCCAAAGTCTAGACACACAAATGCACCCCAGCCATAAAGCCAGGAGCCGTGGGAGCCACGGAGCCCAGAAGCCGCCACCAGCGTCCAAGCCCGTCATGGCAGCTGTTACCTGGGTCTCCTTGTGGCCTCTTCTCACCTTACTCAAACCCTAGAGAGGATTTAAGGTCCCAAGAAATGCCTACCTTTTCGGGAATCATTCTCTACCTCTTTTGACCCCACCCACCTTTCCTTTATTTAGACTATGTGTAAAATCACACCCCCTCCTGGACACAGCACTGTCCACTCTGCTCGGAGTCTGCTCACTGCTGCAAACGAGTTCGCTCCCATTCACTTTCTCAGAGGGGCCACATCAGCCCCAGGGGTGAAAACGGGTACTTGGGACCTGAAGAGATCTTAGATGTTATGGTGGTGTGTGACCGTCTGAGAGACCACGGCCTACAGAAAGATGCAACCTGTCTCTGCTAGTAAAATTCCATGCAGGGCGGCGATCAAGGGAAAACCTGTCTAAAAGACCCCTGAGACGGTGAGATGCAGCCTCTCGGGGGCTGTGGGTTCTGAGGGTGGCTGGGTCCCACCCCGCCATGCAGCCCCTGAGCGCCTGGCACAGAGCTGGATGTGCCGTCCGGACTGGATGAGCCAATCTGGGACCTCAGCTACCACCACCCAGCAAGTTGAGAAGCAGCGGCAAGGACAACACGACCCCAATGCGGGACCCGCTGAGGCCACCCCAGGGTGGAGATGCTGCCCAGGGGCCCAGAGCACTGACTTCAACCAGGAAGACTGGGCTGGATGAGGGAAGCTGTGGCCTGAGGTGGGGGGACCCAGGAGGAGCGCGGACTATTCCCCAGGCCGTGATGACAGAGGACCCAGGAGGGGTGCAGATCGTTCCCCAGGCCGTGAGGACGGAGGGCCCAGGAGGAGTGCAGACCATTCCCCAGGCCATGAGGATGGAGGGCCCAGGAGGGGTGCGGACCGTTCCCCAGGCCATGAGGACAGAGGACCCAGGAGGAGTGCGGACCATTCCCCAGGCCGTGAGGACGGAGGGCCCAGGAGGAGTGTGGACCATTCCCCAGGCCGTGAGGACGGAGGGCCCAGGAGGAGTGTGGACCATTCCCCAGGCCGTGAGGACGGAGGGCCCAGGAGGGGTGCAGACTGTTCCCCAGGCCGTGAGGATGGAGGGCCCAGGAGGGGTGCGGACTGCTCCTCAGGCCGTGAGGACGGAGGGCCCAGGAGGTGTGTGGACCATTCCCCAGGCCGTGAGGACGGAGGGCCCAGGAGGGGTGCAGACTGTTCCCCAGGCCGTGAGGATGGAGGGCCCAGGAGGGGTGCGGACCGTTCCCCAGGCCATGAGGACAGAGGACCCAGGAGGAGTGCAGACCGTTCCCCAGGCCGTGAGGACGGAGGGCCCAGGAGGGGTGCGGACCATTCCCCAGGCCATGAGGACAGAGGACCCAGGAGGAGTGCGGACCATTCCCCAGGCCGTGAGGACGGAGGACCCAGGAGGAGTGCGGACCATTCCCCAGGCCATGAGGACAGAGGACCCAGGAGGAGTGCGGACCATTCCCCAGGCTGTGAGGACAGAGGACCCAGGAGGGGTGCAGACTGTTCCCCAGGCCGTGAGGACGGAGGGCCCAGGAGGGGTGCGGACTGCTCCTCAGGCCGTGAGGACGGAGGGCCCAGGAGGTGTGTGGACCATTCCCCAGGCCGTGAGGACGGAGGGCCCAGGAGGGGTGCAGACTGTTCCCCAGGCCGTGAGGATGGAGGGCCCAGGAGGGGTGCGGACCGTTCCCCAGGCCATGAGGACAGAGGACCCAGGAGGAGTGCAGACCGTTCCCCAGGCCGTGAGGACGGAGGGCCCAGGAGGGGTGCGGACCATTCCCCAGGCCATGAGGACAGAGGACCCAGGAGGAGTGCGGACCATTCCCCAGGCCGTGAGGACGGAGGACCCAGGAGGAGTGCGGACCATTCCCCAGGCCATGAGGACAGAGGACCCAGGAGGAGTGCGGACCATTCCCCAGGCCGTGAGGACGGAGGACCCAGGAGGAGTGCGGACCATTCCCCAGGCCATGAGGACGGAGGACCCAGGAGGAGTGCGGACCATTCCCCAGGCCGTGAGGACGGAGGACCCAGGAGGAGTGCGGACCGTTCCCCAGGCCGTGAGGACGGAGGGCCCAGGAGGTGTGTGGACCGTTCCCCAGGCCGTGAGGACGGAGGGCCCAGGAGGTGTGCGGACCGTTCCCCAGGCCGTGAGGATGGAGGACCCAGGAGGGGTGCAGACCGTTCCCCAGGCCGTGAGGACGGAGGACCCAGGAGGAGTGCGGACCATTCCCCAGGCCGTGAGGACGGAGGGCCCAGGAGGGGTGCGGACCATTCCCCAGGCCGTGAGGACGGAGGACCCAGGAGGAGTGCGGACCATTCCCCAGGCCGTGAGGACAGAGGACCCAGGAGGAGTGCGGACCATTCCCCAGGCCGTGAGGACGGAGGACCCAGGAGGAGTGCGGACCATTCCCCAGGCCGTGAGGACGGAGGGCCCAGGAGGAGTGTGGACCATTCCCCAGGCCGTGAGGACGGAGGGCCCAGGAGGTGTGTGGACCATTCCCCAGGCCGTGAGGACGGAGGGCCCAGGAGGAGTGCGGACCATTCCCCAGGCCGTGAGGACGGAGGGCCCAGGAGGGGTGTGGACCATTCCCCAGGCCGTGAGGACGGAGGACCCAGGAGGAGTGCGGACCATTCCCCAGGCCGTGAGGACGGAGGGCCCAGGAGGAGTGTGGACCATTCCCCAGGCCGTGAGGACGGAGGGCCCAGGAGGTGTGTGGACCATTCCCCAGGCCGTGAGGACGGAGGGCCCAGGAGGAGTGCGGACCATTCCCCAGGCCGTGAGGACGGAGGGCCCAGGAGGTGTGTGGACCATTCCCCAGGCCGTGAGGACGGAGGGCCCAGGAGGAGTGCGGACCATTCCCCAGGCCGTGAGGACGGAGGGCCCAGGAGGTGTGTGGACCATTCCCCAGGCCGTGAGGACGGAGGGCCCAGGAGGAGTGCGGACCATTCCCCAGGCCGTGAGGACGGAGGGCCCAGGAGGAGTGCGGACCATTCCCCAGGCCGTGAGGACGGAGGGCCCAGGAGGAGTGCGGACCATTCCCCAGGCCGTGAGGACGGAGGGCCCAGGAGGGGTGCGGACCATTCCCCAGGCCGTGAGGACGGAGGGCCCAGGAGGGGTGCGGACTGTTCCTCAGGCTGTGAGGACGGAGGGCCCAGGAGGGGTGCAGACTGTTCCCCAGGCCGTGAGGACGGAGGGCCCAGGAGGGGTGCAGACTGTTCCTCAGGCTGTGAGGACAGAGGACCCAGGAGGGGTGCAGACCGTTCCCCAGGCCGTGAGGACGGAGGGCCCAGGAGGGGTGCAGACTGTTCCCCAGGCCGTGAGGACGGAGGGCCCAGGAGGGGTGCAGACTGTTCCCCAGGCTGTGAGGACAGAGGACCCAGGAGGGGTGCAGACCGTTCCCCAGGCCGTGAGGACGGAGGGCCCAGTGTTCACTGAATGGCCACTTATTACACTATGACAGTGAGCTTGAGTGAAGACAACAGGGTCAGGCGGCTCAGGTATGAAAGGGCACAGCCACCTGGGTGGCGAGCAAGGGCAGTGAGCCATCCCCGAGCAGGGACCATCTGTGTGAACCCCCAGGAGAGAAACAGCCTATTGTGAACGTTATTTCTCATCAAAATGAGCTGAAAGTCACATTGCTGGAGAGTGGGAAGGCACAGTGGGCTAAGGACAGCCACTCATCACAGGAAGCCCGCTGCACAGGAGAAGCAGGTGTTTCAAAGCCCATCCCAGCAGCCCCACCGTCCAGCGAGCCCCACAAGCCCACTGGCCACACAGCTACTCAGGAAAGACCCAGGGCTAAGGCCGAACCAGGCAGCACAGCCTTTCAGCATTCCGTGATCTCACCGCTCTTTCCTTAACTTCATTAACGCACATGCTCTGAAAGTACGTATGCTCCATCCTAATGAAGGCAGCACTTCCAAGCCTGAAGACTTTAGCATAAGAGTGGGGCCCACGGGGCCTTATGCAAACCCAATCTTCCTCAGTTTCTCTTTACAAAGGAGATTCCCTACACCTGAATCCAAGGCCCTAAGGTCCACTGCTGCACTCCTCAGATGATCTCCTCACGGAGATGCTTTTCTTATTTCCTTAAACTGCTTCATTAATCCAACAAAGTTGTATTGATCATAATTATTGCTTTGCGGCTGCTTGCCACTCTGCGTGTCAACCACGGAAGGTGCACCCAGTACTCTGTGAAGTGAGAGAGAAACACGCAGGCACAACGCCTTCGGTCTAATCAACCGATCATGCAGTGGGATCTGTGAACACGCAGCGTGGTAAGAGAAGACCACGGATCTGGTGAGAGGTTAATATCAACAGGATTCATGAGCCAGAAACCCCAAACCAGCCATTGAAGGTGTATCAGGCTGTGGACGGTGGCAGGTGCATGGGGACCCAGGAAGGGTGGGGGGGCACAACAAGCAAGCCAAGGAGAGGAGCAGCATTTGAGGGGGCGAGGACACAGCATGGCCGGGGATTGCTGGGGGAAGTACAGACCCGGCCTTGGAGACGCAGGGCTGCCAACAGCAACCTCTTCTCAGCAAATGTCACAGCCCTGCCTGCACAACCCCACTCTCAGAAAACATATGTGCACACAGACACACACATGCACACATGCACATACACATACACACAAACACCCATGGACACACAGACACACACATGCACACATGCACATGCACATACATGTACACACATGCACACGCATGTGCACACACAGACATGCACACACATATAAACATACATGTACACACACACATGCAGGTGCACAAGGTTCTCCACTGTAGATGTCAATGCAGGCATCTCATCATGTCAATCTCAACTCCCAAGGCAGCAGGACACAGGCCCCGGCCCAGCTGTGGGTTAGAGTCTCCATGCCTGGCAGATGGAGGCTGCTCCGCCATGAGAGCCAGGGCTGGGCCCCTGGTGTTGGTTACATGGTTGTGTACAACCGTCTAAACTCATTGTGCAAACAGCCCACATCTAGCTGATTCTCCTTTACAGGCAACACCAAACAAACATCACAGAACTGCCTCACTAGGCCTCTCCAGCATTTGCCCTCTAATCTTTAAAGAAAACACAACGTCTGTACATCTTTAAAACCCTCTCAAACCACCAGGGAACACTGATGATTCTGCCGCACAAAGTCCTCACGCAGGCCTGGAGCCTGGCAGGACCCACACCTCGGGCACAGCATGACCATATCCTCAGGAGCTCCACTTGGCATGTGGCATAGACCAGATTAGAGCCAGCAGACACCAAGAGAGGTAGGCATGGCTTTCTTCAGAATGTGGGCCTGTGCTGAAAGTTTTAAAAGGACATCCAGAAACATGGTTTTCTCGGTACGCTGCTTCTGTCTGGCCATCACTGCGGCTTTCATTAAAGCACTAGAAATGCGAATCCAATCACTGCAATTACAGCATTAATTCATGAGACTTAAGCCCTTTTAATAATTCAAAGTGAGGGGCCGGGAACTGTGGCTCTCACCTATCGTCCCAGCACTCTGAGAGGCCAAGGTAGGAGGACCACCTGAGCCCAGGAGCTCGCAATCAGCCTGGGCAACATAGCAAAACCCCAACTCAACAAAGAAATTAAAAATTAGCTGGATGTGGGGGCGTGCACCCATGGTCCCAGCTACTCAAGAGACGGAGGTGGGAAGATGACTTGAGCCTAGGAGTTTGAGGCTGCAGTGAGCTGTGTTTGCACCACTGCACTCCAGCCTGGGTGACAGAGACCCTGTCTTTAAAAGTGAGTTCACAGTTCATATCAGCTGTTTGATAGGCATCATTTGCAAAATGCATTTTTGCAGAATATGCATTGTCATAATGTGGACGCTGTTAGGTACACAGAGCCAGCCAAAAACAAAACATGAAGTAAGCTGAATTTGCCAACTTCCAACCTTTTTTCCAACTCCCAGCAGAGCGCACATCAAACGCCTCTAATTCTCTGGTACGGCCACCTCCCACCCAGGCACCCAGGATCCTGCTGCTCCTAATTATTCAACCCCCTCCCGCCACACTCCCTCCTCTGCCCACGAGACAAGCGCAACTGTAAACAAAGCCTCTGCCAGTGAAACTGTAAGTGCCTGGGCATGACCACTCAGAAAACAGAGCTGTGACGGTGCTGACGAGGGAAGGAGCCCGAGAAAGGAGCCCAGGCTGAGCTGAAACCCAGAGAGAAGGCCTGGGGTGTCGGCCTCCCAAAGACACTCGGATTCTTAGGGAGAAAACTGGCTTCATCCAAAAGAAGTCACAGCTGGTGTGAGCATGTGGGGTGAGAGGCAGTGAGGGAGGGCACAGGACCGACAGAGTCTCTTAATCCCAACATGTGTCATACTGTCCTCAGCGACCTGAAATCCTAGGTCAGGACATGCACACACACAAAAACACTCCAAGATTCTAAGGAAAATATCAAGTGGGAAGGCTCTCAACAAGCGTTTACTTTCAGTGCCAACGGAAGCAGGCACCCGTCACCTGGCTGGCGCCGGGGCACGGGGCTGCAGGTCCTGACTCAACAAGCGTTTGCTTTCAGTGCCAACGGAAGCAGGCACCCATCACCTGGCCAGCACCAGGGCACGGGGCTGCAGGTCCTGACTCAACAAGCGTTTGCTTTCAGTGCCAACAGAAGCAGGCACCCATCACCTGGCCAGCGCCGGGGCACGGGGCTGCAGGTCCTGACGCAACAAGCGTTTGCTTTCAGTGCCAACGGAAGCAGGCACCCATCACCTGGCCAGCACCGGGGCACGGGGCTGCAGGTCCTGACTCAACAAGCGTTTGCTTTCAGTGCCAACAGAAGCAGGCACCCATCACCTGGCCAGCGCCGGGGCACGGGGCTGCAGGTCCTGACGCAACAAGCATTTGCTTTCAGTGCCAACGGAAGCAGGCACCCATCACCTGGTCAGCGCCGGGGCACGGGGCTGCAGGTTCTGAATCAACAAGCGTTTGCTTTCAGTGCCAACGGAAGCAGGCACCCGTCACCTGGCCAGCACCGGGGCACGGGGCTGCAGGTCCTGACTCAACAAGCGTTTGCTTTCAGTGCCAACGGAAGCAGGCACCCATCACCTGGCCAGCGCCGGGGCACGGGGCTGCAGGTCCTGAATCAACAAGAGTTTGCTTTCAGTGCCAATGGAAGCAGGCACCCATCACCTGGCCAGTGCCAGGGCACAGGGCTGCAGGTCCTGAGCACCACGGGGAGTGCCAGGACAGAGAACCAGCCCCTTTGGAGATCTTTCAGCTGACAGACAAGAAACTGATGCAAACAGCCTGGTGAAGATGCAACAGGGGCCTCGGGAGCAGTTAAAGTACAAAAGACTGGCCAGGCGTGGTGGCTCACGCCTGTAATCCCAGCACTTTGGGAGGCCGAGGTGGGCGTATCACGACATCAGGAGTTCGAGACCAGCCTGGCCAACATGATGAAACCCCATCTCTACTAAAAATATAAAAAATTAGCCAGGTGTGGTGGCAGGCGCCTGTAATCCCAGCTACTCAGGAGGCTGAAGCAGGAGAATTGCTTGAACCTGGGAGGCGGAGGTTGCAGTGAGCAGAGATCACACCCCTGCACTCCAGCCTGGGCAATAAGAGTGAAACTCCATCTCAAAAAAATAAATAAAATAAAATAAAACAAAACACAAAAGACTGACACCAGCAAGTGCTGATGAGGACCCGGAGAGCCAGGAGCTCCCAGCCCTGCCTGGTGGGAGTATGAGGCAGTGCAGCCATCAATGAGGGCTGTGTGCCAAGTTCTCCAAAAGTTACAACATCTCACATTGACATCTATGGCCAGCAGTTCCTCTCCTAGCATTTACCCAAGAGAAATGAAAACAAATGTCTATGGAAAGACTTCAACAGAAATAGTCATAGCAGCCTCATTCACAACAGCCTCAAATTCCCAACAGCCAGGAGTCCATCCAGAGAATGGAAAGGCGAAATGTGGCACATTCTTCAGCAGAAGATTGATCATCAACAATAGGAAAGAAACTATTGATACATGCACCAACATGAATAAATCTCAAAAACGCTACATTGAGTGAAATAAGCAAAGTCAAAAAAATACATACTCTATGAATCCATTTTTTTAAGAGTAGGAAAAATATTCTACAGTGATAGAAGCAGCAAGTGAGAGCCCCTGGGGACGGTGGGTGGGCGATCTTCCAGGAACGGGCACACAGGACTTTCGGAGATGACGGGACGTCTTCGTCTTGGGTGGTGACTACAGGGTCGTGTTCAATTGTCAAAACTCATGGAACTCACTTAATACCTGTTCATTTTATTGCATAAAAGTTACTCCTTAATAAAAGTTTAAAAAACAAGAAAGTAATATTGACTCTGCCAATGGAAATACATTTCAAGTACAAGATACTATCTGCAAACAGGGTTAAAAGTTTGCAAGTTGGGGAAGGCTTGTCGTTTGATCCTATGCAAAAGTGATCCTTGACTTGTGTTTTGAAAGATAAGTAGGTGTTTGCTGAGCAAAAAGGGTGGGGTGAAGGGGGCTGCACTAAGGGAAAGGAAGGTGGCCCCAGGAGGCTGGAACACAGAAGCCACCTGGCTGTCATGGTGCCAGTGGAGATGTAGCTGCAGAAACAGCTGGCATGTTATAGTGCGGGCATGGGGCCATGAAGGCGTCATACACCACAAAGTCACAACTACACACTAGAGGTCCAGCCAGCAGGGGAGTTTAAATAGGGAAGCAGCACAGCAGGCTTGTGTGTCTGAAAAAGCATTCCAGCAGGGACAGGAGGGACGCACTGCTAGGCTCTGAGGCTGCAGAGGAGGAATCCACTCAGACCAAGGAAGGCCAGTAAGCACCTGAGCAAAGGGAGTGGCATGGGGAGGAGAGGCAGGGAGAGAACAGAGCAGGCCACACCCTCTGCCCCTCCCCACCCAAACCTCCAGATGTTACCAAGATTTTACAGAACAGCATCAAACATCAGGAAAGCATCCAGGCAGTCGCAGGGAAATCCTGAGGGTACCGTGAAAGGCAGAAGTCAGTTCGGAGTCTCGGAGGGGCCGTGACAGAAGAATTCTCCCAGGAGCGAGTGGCCAGATGACAAGCTCAGAGCAGGGACACAAAGTCCAAGCGGGATCCCGGGACCAGAGTCAGCTCATCACCGGGGAGCCCGGTCGTGAATTCACCTGCTTGCTAAACTCTACCTGGAACCCCCAAAGCTGTGCTCACACTGGACACCTGTTCTCACTGGACACCTGCTCTCACTGGACGCCTGCTCTCACTGGACAGCTGCTCTCACTGGACAGCTGCTCTCACTGGACGCCTGCTATCACTGGACGCCTGCTCTCACTGGACAGCTGCTCTCACTGGACGCCTGCTCTCACTGGATGCCTGCTCTCACTGGACGCCTGCTCTCACTGGACAGCTGCTCTCACTGGACGCCTGCTCTCACTGGACGCCTGCTCTCACTGGACAGCTGCTCTCACTGGACGCCTGCTCTCACTGGACGCCTGCTCTCACTGGACGCCTGCTCTCACTGGACGCCTGTTCTCACTGGACAGCTGCTCTCACTGGACGCCTGCTCTCACTGGACGCCTGCTCTCACCGGACGCCTGCTCTCACTGGACAGCTGCTCTCACCGGACGCCTGCTCTCACCGGACGCCTGTTCTCACTGGACACCTGCTCTCACTGGACGCCTGCTCTCTCTGGACGCCTGTTCTCACTGGACGCCTGCTCTCACTGGACGCCTGCTCTTACTGGACGCCTGCTCTCACTGGACGCCTGTTCTCACTGGACACCTGCTCTCACTGGACGCCTGCTCTCACTGGACGCCTGCTCTCACTGGACACCTGCTCTCACTGGACACCTGCTCCATGACGGACCTCTGAGTCTCCGATGCACAATTTTCCACTGCAGTTGAAAGGGCAACATGCGGCCTTATGTCAGTGCACACTGCACACATCTGTCCTTTGCATGCTTTATTTCGTCCAGATTTGGTGCATTTTCATGCTTTTTGTGGGTGATTTCACTGTTTAAAATGGCCCCAAGCTTGGTGCTGAGGTGCTGTCTAGACAGTCTAAGTGCAAGGCTGTGACATGCCCTACAGAGAAAACACGTGTTAGAGAAGCTTCGCCCAAGCTCGAGCCATGGGCTGTCAGCTCTGAGTTCAGCACTGATGAGTCAGCAGTAGATATTAAATCAGGTGTCTAAGCAGAAACACAAATAAAACAAGGTTATGCACTGATTGATTGACAAAATTGCCCTGGCTAGAGGCTTGCAGGAACCTGTGTTTCTTCAGGAGCAAGGGTTCAGTGTTCACGGTGACTTCACAGAACGTAACTGCTGTTAATAACGAAAACCCACTGGAGCCAGATGGTTACTTGAGAAAATGCAGTCGGGTATCTAAACAGTGTTCTGTGGTCCGTATGCCAAGTCACTGGCAATATTAACTTTTCTCTCCCAAACTAAATGGAGGACCTCAAAACAGGGAAGTCCCTATCAGCTAAGGTCACCTGGAGGGATGGACAAGCCACACGCATAACACAAATGGCAGCTCATCCCAACCTCACTCACGCCACCAGGGACCCCGTCCTGCAGCTAGAAATACCCGCCACCCACAGGCCAGCAAACAGTTCATCCCAACCTCACTCAGGTCACCAGGGACCCCATCCTGCAGCTAGAAACACCATTCACCCACAGGCCAGCTGTTGGGAGCAGGCCCCCAAAAATCTGGCCATAAACTGGCCCCAAAACTGGCCATAAACAAAATCTCTACAGCACTGTAACATATTCATAATGGCCCTAATGCCCAAGCTGGAAGGTTGTGGGTTTACAGGAATGCGGGCAAGGAACACCTGGCCTGCCCAGGGTAGAAAACCACTTAAAGGCATTCCTAAGCCACAAACAATAACATGAGTGATCTGTGCTTTAAAGACATGCTCCTGCTGCAGTTAACTAGCCCAACCTATTCCTTTAATTCAGCCCACCCCTTCATTTCTCATAAGGGAGACTTTTAGTTAATATCTATAGAAACAATGCTAATGACTGGTTTGCTGTTAATAAATATGCAGGTAAATCTCTGTTTGGGGCTCTCAGCTCTGAAGGCTGTGAGAACCCTGATTTCCCACCTCACACCTCTATATTTCTGTGTGTGTGTCTTTAATTCCTCTAGCACCACTGGGTTAGGGTCTCCCCGACCGAGCTGGTCTCAACAGCCAGCAAACAGCTCATCCCGACCTCACTCACACCACCAGGGACCCCATTCTGCAGCTAGAAACACGCCCCACCCACAGGCCAGCAAACAGCTCATCCCAACCTCACTCATATGGTTGTAATAGATGTAGTTTATCTAATCTACAACACCACAAGGGACCGTGTCCTGCAGCTAGAAACACTCCCTACGCACAGGCCGGCCAACAGCTCATCCCAACCTCACTCACGCCACCAGGGACCCCATCCTGCAGCTAGAAACACCCCCCACCCACAGGCCAAAAGGATTTCAGAGACAAAGACAAGCAGATGCCTGGAGTCGTATGGCAGGCGAAGAAAACCCACAATAGAGGGAGAGCCCCCAGCTCAGCCAGCAGGAAACAAAGCTGAGAAGCCGTAACAGGTTAAACCAGCATGGCCACAGGAAGTGCAAGGAAGATGTTGTCCTTGGTTCTGTAAAACAAAATAATAGAGGTGTTGGAAATCAAAAATACATCCAACATGATGAAGCAGAAAACAGCCTGGGCACACAGGAGAACACAGAAGAGAAAGTCTGTGAGCTGTGGACTCCGTCAGGGAAATCTATAAGGAAATTGCACAAAATGCAAAGATTAGACAAATTCACATGTCCAGAGATGTGAAGAACAAGTCCAGGAAGTCTCAGAAGAGGAGTTTCAGAGGAGAAGGAGTAAAAGAAAGAAATAATAGAAGAAAAATTTCCAAAACTGAAGGAAGAGAAGCCACCAGATCTTGAAAGAGCCATAAAGACCCAGCAGCGTGGTGCGGGGAAGCCAAGCAAACCAGCCCAGACTATGGCAGCCCAAGGAGAGCACAGCTCTGTGAAATTCCACAGCAAAATGGGTAAAATCATCAGGGCGAGGGGAGGAGGAAAGAGATTTATTGACAAAGAAAGACAACAGGATTAGAATTAGACTTTTCACTAACCATACTGACTGGTAGAAGGCAGCGGTTTTAAAGGAAAATCATTTTGAATTGAGATTCCAATGCTCCGTAAAATTAGATTTTATGTGGGAATAAACATATTTTTAGACATTCAAGGATTCTAAGAGCTTTCCCACCCACAGATGTGAACAAAGAGACTCTCTAGAAGATAGACATCAGCCAAATGAAAAGCGAATAAAAATTAACAAGGAAGGCATGGGAGAAGAGCCAGCGGCAAGAAGAAAGGAGGGCTGATAGTAAAATACAGCTAAGGGAAATGACTGCTGATGCGTAACAAAGTCAACTAATAATCTTCTGAAACTAAAGCTCACATCATCTCAGCATGGGGAAGGGTGGGGAAGACAACTCCTTGTTGTTAAGGTAAAAGGTGCTGATAGAAAAGCACAATAGAAATGCGTGGGAAGTGAAAACACACTCAGCCCCATAAACAAAAATGAGAAAACTTTCAATAAATAGAAGCAAGTAGAATCCAACACTGTATTAAAATAATACATAACTACACAATGAAAAGATGGTTCAGTATTAAAACGGTTATTATTTCATTCAAAACTTACAAAATGGGGGAACTCCTATCAGACAGATACCAAATAAGCATTTGATAAAACCTAACACCATTCCTATTTTTATAAATAACTTTCTAACTAAGATCAATCCATTTTTATTCTGACACAGAGATACAAACAATGTTGGTATTGTGTTGCATTTTCTGAGCGAATGAACCTTCTACTTCACGTTCCTGTAAAATACGATTAAGGGGAAACTTCTTTAATTTGATAAAAGGTAATTTACCTTAACTCTGACAAACATTCATGCAATGAGGAAACATTAGAACCGTTTTTATTATGGTGAAACATGAAAGGACATCCAGGATCAATTTTAGTATTCAGCACTGTGCTATAAGTCCTAAAATGTGAAATAAGACAAAAACTAGGAGTATAAATATTAGTAAGGGAAAAATAAAATTAGCACTTACTCATAATTTATCCACTTAGAAAATCCTGGGTTGTCATTTGACAACCAATTAGAAATCCTTCAGTAAGAAAAATAATACAATGCCACGATTTTAAAATGGGCAAAGAATATGGAAAGGTGATTTATGAAATAATAAGTGGTGATTACATAAATATTAATATCTAATAAAATTATGTCAGCTTGTTCAGCCTCTCTAGAACTCTTGGAATTTAATTAAAACCATATTATAATCATTCTTCATCAAAGTAGAAAACATGAAAGGCTGATAAAATTCACATTGGTAAATGCAGTGTCTATCAACATCGTACAGGTACATCCAGCAACTCAGCAAATCCAACTACTTGCTTAACGCAGTGACAGCTGCACCGTGATTATGTAACAGACATCCCCATTCTTAGGAAACACATGCGACGTCGTTAGGGGTTAACTCCAATGGGGTGTGCAACTTACTGTCTTATGGCTCAGAAAACAGTGCATGTGTGTGGAGAGGGAACAGGAGAGCGAGCGTGCGTGAGCTCAAGCAACAAGAAAACACCAGCAAAAGTGAATAAGGGGGAGGCATAACGGGTTCTCTCTGCTGTGCTTTTCTTGAAGTCTTCCTGAAGTGTGAAATTACTCCCAAATAAAAAAGTTTTTTAAAGGAATTTTAAAATTAATCAACTTTATGTGCATATATCAAAACAAAGATTTGGCATATTACATCAAAAAAATTCACAGCACACGGTGCACATCATAATTATTTATGTTAGAATCGAAATGTGGGCATTTAAATGTATAGTCATATTATACAGTATGCTTTGTTTCATATACACCTATTGAGACACCAGAGACTTATTAGATCCAGTTACAAGTGGGGAGGATAGGAATTTGAAGGGTGAAAAGAAATTCAGTATTCAACTCTGAATATCTACAATATTTTTTAGAACATTTAAAAACATATCCCTGTTTAAATTGTTTTCTCCTGATAACACTGGGGCATGGAGGAGGGAAGATGAGAACCCGGAACAGCCTGGGCTTCTCTGTGGAGGGAGCCACTGGCAGTGACACAATTCCCAGAAATGGGAAGTGAGGTTCATTCACTCAGAAAACATGGTGGAACCCCACTGGTAATCAAATATCTGTGGCAGGATTAGGGCTGATTATTAATTTATTCCTTTTACTTTCTAAAGCTTTCCAAATTTTCTGCAATGTGCTTGCATTATTTTTAAAATTCGGGGAAAAATTAAGCAAATAAGAAAAACAATTACAAATCCAATTTTCACAATGACAAAGAATGACTCAAAAATGCATGTTGGTCCGGGCGTGGTGGCTCATGCCTGTGATCCCTGCACTTTGGGAGGCTGAGGCGGGTGCATCATTTGAAGTCAGGGGTTCTAGACCACCTTGGGCAACATGGTGAAACCTCATCTCTACAAAGCACAAAATTAGTCAGGCATGGTGGCGTGCACCTGTAGTCCCAGCTACTCAGGAGGCTGAGGCAGGAGGATCACTTGAGCCCAGGAGTTCGAGGTTGCAGTGAGTTATGATCACACCACTGTACTCCAGCCTGGGCAACAGAAAGAAACCCTGTTTCAAAAACACACACACAAAAAAAATCTTTTCACATGAAGGTGAAAATGAGAAATAGCCGATGGATTTATCTCCCCTAAAATGAAAGAGAGAAACCAGGAAATGAAATACGGAGTTCTTGTCAGCATAGACCAAATATTATTAAATATTATTTTACTGAAATACAAAGTCCATTCAGATTTTACACTGGGACCAGGAAACATCTACCAGCTAAGCCAACTACTCACACCTTTCTCCAGGTTTCTCTCCCCATGCTGGTCTTGCTACATTCTGATCTCTATGCTAAGCATTTATAAGGTAACTCCTATAGATGAAAACCACAGCAAAGTATGAGAAATACATTTTCTCACACTTGCGGCCAGAAAATGGGAAACAAACTTGAGATACATAGACCCAACAAATATCTTTTCATTTTGGTTACGTCATCTCCAAGCATCTCTTACAGCTTCACCTGTCTCTGCACCCTGCACAGCCCAGGCAAACCCTTCTATTATTTCCCTTGAAATGCATGGTGCTTGTCCAGCCTCTACAACATCCCCTGCCTCAAGCCTCCTTTACCCCTTTTCTGTTCCTGTCAAAATCCTCCTCATTCTCCAAATCCCTGATGAGATCCAAACTCCTCCCCTGTGAGCTTCCAAGGTGACCTTTTCTCCTCAAATTCTTACTTTCTCCACTGGCTCTGGCTCTGGGGAGTGTAGAACAGGAGCCAAGATGTATTTCACACGCACTGCACTGACGTCGTCCGTCCCATGACTGAATTACCACTGCCATCCTGGGAGGCGGCATCATCTCCCCACTTTCCACAGGACAAAACAGAGATCAGAAACCTTAAGCACAGTGGGTCAGGGGTGCAGCTAAGATTCTGACTTCCTGGCTTCATGTCTCCAGCTGCTTTGATCATTACACAGGGCAATACCACTTGTCCAGGTCCACACTAACCTGAGAGAGAGAAACAATCCTCTTTCACAGGCCAGGTCTCTAAACTGCATTGCCGGCTTTGCCAAGCAGGGCCTGTGTTTGATTTAACTTTGGGTACAGCAGACGCCGTCCAAAGGACTGGAATGCATTGGAGTTACAGTAAGTGTCTGCTGACAGTGTGATAGCTTCCACTTTGGGGGCTATCTAGAATATATACTAGTATGTTACCCAAAAAGAATAAGAATTACCTAACTGAAAATTTAAGTAGCCATCATCCAGAGTCAGTTTTCTGCAAAAGACAATTCATATGGTTTGGCTCTGTGTCTCCACCCAAATCTCACGTCAAATTGTGATCCCCAGTGTCGGAAGAGGGGCCTGGTGGGGGGTAACTGGATCACAGGGGTGGATTTCCCCTTGCTGTTCTTGTGATAGTGAGTGAGTTCTCAGAAGAGCTGGTAGTTTAAAAGTGTGTAGCACCTCCCCCTTCACTCTCTTCCTCCTGCTCCGGCCATGCGGGATATGCCTACTTCCCCTTCGCCTTCCGCCATGGTTGTAAGTTTCCTGAGGCCTCCCAGCCATGCTTCCCGCAAATCCTGAGGAACCGTGAGCCAATTAAACCTCCTTTCTTCATAAATTGCCCAGTTTCACCTATTTCTTTATAGCAGAGTGAGAAAGAACTAATACAACATGGTAACGGGAACAGAAGGACAAGCTCTAGACAGGGAGAAAATATTTGCAAATCACACCTCTGACTGTGTTTTGTGTCCAAAGTACATAAAGAACTCTCGAAACTCAACAGGAAGAAAAGCATGTTTTTAAAAACCGGCAAAACCTTGAACAGTCACTTCCCCACAGAAGAGAGACGGGTGGCAAATAGGGTTCCTGCTGGCTCTGGTGTTGACGGTTGAGGGCACAGGAACCATCTGTGCTTCCCACTTGAGGCTAAAGGTGTCTCACCAGGAAAACGCTGCATCACCAGCAGTGGAAGCATAACAAAAGCCCATGGGAAAAAGTCACAAAGATGCATTAACCTTTCGATAAAGTAGAACAGAACCCACCACGACCCAGTGAAAATAAGTGACTTCTGCTGTATTTCTTTGCTATCAGTATCACCCCACTTCTTAAAAGAAATCTGATTAAAACACTGCCCCCAGGAAGGAGGACAGAACAGCACTGACTTCTGCCCGCTCTGGGCTTCTTCTCGCAAAACCAAACTTCACTTTTTTCCAAGCTGAGATACTTCACCTTAAGAAAAAATATTTATGTTATCAAAGGTGTAGGTTATTTGTAAATGGCTACTATCTTATCTAAGGGTAAAATATAATCACAAGCTCCCTGGACACTACCTGGGATGGTGCCAAACTTGCAGGGAAGCCCCAAAGGCTGAGGCTTCTGCTGACCAGACCACGTGGACACAGACGCCAAGGCCTCAACTAGACCACGTGGACACGGATGCCAAGGCCACAACCAGAGCATGTGGACACAGATGCCGAGGCCTCGACCAGACCATGTGAACACAGATGCCAAGGCCTCGACTGAATGCTGCTATCTCGACCAGACCACATGGGTATGGATATCGATGCCCCAGAAACAGCCATTTGGCTACAGAATAACAACAGGACGCTGTGTGAGAAAATACAGGATCAGATTCATGATTTGGGAGCGACGTACCAGCTTCATCCTTCACCCATCTTCTACCACACTTCATCACCAAACAGCATGCTTGTCATGACACAGGATCTCCTGGTGGGGGGAGACCCAACATAGCTGCCATGGGAGGGATCCAGTGCCATCGCTGTGCCTTTGCAAGGGCAGACCCCTGTGGCCACCATGCTGCTGTCCTACTGCCTAGAATCCTGAGCCACAGAGCATCCTGGCTTGGAGGTGGACAGGGACGCCAGACCTGGAATGCCACCATACGTGAGCAAGGTGGTTTTAATCAATTTGGTGAAAATTAGAGGAACAGCCTCTCGTCACCCCTCATCCCTCACCTCACAGCAGCCCCAAGTGCTGAGCGAGCCCAAACCCAGGCCTCAAGCCCCAACAGCACCACCAGTGTAGAGGCACTGTGCAAATACACTCCAGGAAGATGAACTTTTGGGTGTGACCATTCCGATGTAGGCTGAGACAGCCCCCAGGGTGATCTGGGATGCTGAGAAAGCCATTTGGCAAGGGGGCCCGGAGCAAGACAAGGCCAAGGGGGGAAGAGGCCACCGGCTGGTGGAACCTGACTCCGGGCGCTGCCAGCTTCCACCCAACACTGCTGACCTCACCAAGTAAGGCTGCAGGGGAGACAGAGCAGCATGGGCCAGTGCCCCCTGCACATCCTGAGTGGTCCATGGAATGACCCCATCACAGGACCATCCTTCCTTCAAAACAGGCACAGGCGTGGAGAAGGGCGCTCTCTTTGGAGAAGCGGAGAGAAGTTAGAAGATATTTTTTAGAGGCCACCCTTCCTCGGCTTGCAACGAGCATGGCTAACCAGGGGTATATGATTGCTACAACATGGGAAGGAGGGTCCTCAGCATCACAGAACGTCAGTATCACCATCGACAGGCAAATGTGAGAGAACAGACGCGTCAGGCTCTGCCATAGTTACTAACGTTCGAACACGAGCGATTGAGACAGGAAAGACATACAGCAGTCTTCAAAGGAAGGACCAGCTGAGGCTGGGTGAAGATTCATCAAGTTGGATAAATGAATGAGGGGTAGGGAGGTTTGCTAAGTGAAGGAAAATTGAATAAAGCATCGTCAGTTTACCTAGAATAATATTCCAAGTTCTGTGGCTTCTTTAATAACAAAACTAAATGAAGAAAGGAAAGCCAAAAGAAAAAGAAAGAGAAAGGTCTTGTTCCTGGTTAGAATCTGACAGGACCAAACCTGCCTTCTGCCTTCACCTGAAAGAGCTCAAAGGACAGAAGTGTTTTGAGGCATCTCATCTTAGAGGTTCTAGGTGAGCTGAAGGCTCTTTCAAATCACCAGGTAACCCCTCCAAGAAGCCACGTTCACAGGTCTCACTGAGACGCTGTTAAAAAAAAAAAACGGAAGACAAGGTTCATGATGCTTCCAACTCATACCATTTGTAAAAGTTTAAATGGTGCAGGCATCACTCGGAGGCAGTTGCTAACAGGGAAACTCTCCCTTCTCAGCCACCCCACCCCTCCCAGCCAGCAGCGAGGCCCCTCCCCGGAGGTCTCTGCAGGCACCACCGAGGCAGCGCCCGTCTCTCCCGAAGAGCCGCTGGTTCCTGGGTCTCTGAGGGAACTGTGCGTAGTGCGCTCAGGGCCACTCACCTCTCTGTGGCCGCGCAGTGCCTTTGTGTACAGCAAGGCTGCTTCAAGCTTTTTACACTTATGTGGGGGTGGGAAGAAAACGCTTTCAAAACTTGCTGCCGTTTCTAAGTTCTCTGCTGGCCCTTCCCTCTCGGTCATTCTTTTGAGAATCGACGAAAATGGTGGCTGTCCCCGGAAGATGCAGGCATGAGAAGCACCACGCCAGTGTCTCGGCCGCGAGAAGTGGGAGCCCGGACCATGGCTCCTGGTGACCTCCGGGACCCAGCTCCATGGACCAACTGCACCCTCTCTGCAGGCTTTCGGAGGCGCCCCACACACCACTGGGCCCCATGAGCTACTGAGGAAACTGATGAGCCAGAGGCCGAGACTGAAGAGGGGCAAGGACGCCTGCCAGGACGGGCTTTTCCTGCCCCTGCGCCGGCCCAGCTGAGCTAAGCTCAGGCATGGGTGTTTCGCAAAGGGGCTTTGGTCCCGGTTACGGAGGCGGCGGGCAGCGAGCTCTGGTCTGGGCATTCCTGACGAAGCTCTCTGCAGAAAAGGCTCACAGCCCTCGGTGACGGTGACACATCACACCTCCACGGGGTACGTGATATCGCCTGGTGCTCCCGTTCCCTCATTCATTCATTCGGTCTCTGCAGCACCCGGGAGGGGCCCGGCAGGAGCCTGTACAGCGGGTGAGGGAGGAGGGAGGCCGGTCTCAGAGGGGCCTGAGGGGAGGAGGGAGGCCGGTCTCAGAGGAGCCTGAGGGGAGGAGGGAGGCCGGTCTCAGAGGGGCCTGAGGGGAGGAGGGAGGCCGGTCTCAGAGGGGCCTGAGGGGAGGAGGGAGGCCGGTCTCAGAGGGGCCTGAGGGGAGGAGGGAAGCCGGTCTCAGAGGGGCCTGAGGGGAGGAGGGAGGCCGGTCTCAGAGGGGCCTGAGGGGAGGAGGGAGGCCGGTCTCAGAGGGGTCTGAGGGGAGGAGGGAGGCCGGTCTCAGAGGGGCCTGAGGGGAGGGAGGCCGGTCTCAGAGAGACCTGAGGGGAGGAGGGAAGCCGGTCTCAGAAAGGCCTGAGGGGAGGAGGGAAGCTGGTCTCACAGGGGCTGAGGGGAGGAGGGAGGCCGGTCTCAGAGAGACCTGAGGGGAGGAGAGAAGCCGGTCTCAGAGAGACCTGAGGGGAGGAGAGAAGCCGGTCTCAGAGGGGCATGAGGTGCAGGGGCCCGGCCTGCCTCATGAGAGCTCCGCTTTCAGCCTGAGCCACATGGGAATCGCCCAGAGCTTTGGCTCAAGCATGGCAGGATCCGGCGCATCTGAAGTGTCAGGACGTGCCTTTTTTTTTTTTTTTTTTTTTTTTTTTTTTTGAGGCGGAGTCTCGCTCTGTCGCCCAGGCCAGGCCAAAATGCAGTGGCACGATCTCTGCTCACTGCAAACTCCGCCTCCCAGGTTCACCCCATTCTCCTGCCTCAGCCTCCCTAGTAGCTGGGACTACAGGCGCCTGCCACCACACCCGGCTAATGTTTTGTATTGTTTTGTATTTTTAGTAGAGAGGGGGTTTCACCATGTTAGCCAGGATGGTCTCGATCTCCTGACCTTGTGATCCGCCTGCCTCGGCCTCCCAAAGTGCTGGGATTACAGGCGTGAGCCACCGTGCCCAGCCAGGACGTGCCCTTTTTTTAGTGGCTGTAAAATAAGAAACTTTCTTCTCACACCTCCTGAGGTCAAGTTTACAAACTAGAAAAAGAACACTATAAAGATGCGGCTTATTGTACCTTTCCCATGTTAATTATGACACTGGGTCTTTTTCAAAAGGTGTACAGATGGCACTGGTCTTCACAGGCATGGGCCCGTGTGGTCTTTCCCGGATTTAGGAACACTGTATGGGGTCCACAGTCACACGTTCAGGTCCACATCTTAAATTCCTCCCCATGGAAAAGATCTTGATAGGGTACATTTGACATTCTGAGATAAAACTGTTATATCACCCTTTTAAACATATCAACTGTAATCTAACTAAATACCACAATCCACCATATCAACTTGATACCAGCCATTATCCATTCAAAGCACATATGAACACGTTAGTATTAAATGGCCTAAAATATTACAGTATTCATTTTTGTCCTTAAATTCTTATTTCCATTCCATCTCCTCCTACAGAACCATATCCTACTGTAACATATATTTAAGCTTAAAAGACGTTTTCCTCTCTTTTTCTGTCTATACCCACATGAACACACATTTCATGTGTATGCATATAAAAGCCAAAATACATTTTTAAATTTTCTGTGAGAAAGATTCTAGATGATAAAACTGTCTTCTTGACTAAACTATTGTTAGTTTTATAGGTGACCCTAAAATATAATTATAAATTTTGATGAACACTAAATATTACCATTAAAACTGAATTGGAAATACATCTCTTAATGAGATTTTTCCCAATTCACTAATATATTCATGGATAAATATTACTTTTTAGTGAAAGAAAGCTGGGTTCAGTGTCAATGACTTTTTTAATAGCTGTAAGATGCAAAACTTAGATTGCATTAATACCTGGATGGAACATAAGTGTGTTATTCTGGCGATGGCCCTCAAGCCTTGGAACTCCTTCAGAAATCACTGAGCACTTACCATTAACAATTACTCCTAAGAATTAGCCGATAACGCTATGATATCCTCTTTTAATTATGTTGAAAGCAAGAAATGGGAAACTAAAAATAAGTTTCGCCCATTGATTAGAGTCACTAACTTCACCAGCAGTGAGACAGATACCCCAAACTCTCCATTGTTCTGACACCCAAGGGCAACACTCCCTGCAAGATTCCGGATGTGGTGGGAGGGTACACCTTTTCCCTCTTTCATAAGAGGGGGAAGGGTGAGTTTGAGAACACAGTAGGCAAAGACGCAGAAGCATCACTCAGACACTTTCTCAGATTAGCAGACTGTAGGGAAAGGCACCCGTAAACCCTAAGATAAGAAATCAACTTCCTTAAAACCATCTCATATCACAGCCCCTATAAGAAACCTGATGTGCCACTGAACGGTGAGCACCATATTGTGAAGTCTGCTGTGCTAAGGTGAGGTCACAAAACAACATCCTTTTCACATCCAAATGCCCAGAAAACTATCTGTCTTTTGCACCTAGTGCAAACAGTCACAAGTGATACTTTCCCGTGTATGTAATATCATGAGATTCCTTTAAACCTGTAAAAACAAAAGACCAGAACCAAGACAGAAGAAAGAAATGTTACCATGCATTTTAATTTCCTTAACCTCCTTCTCTCCCTTAAACAAGTTTCCAAGGGAACAGAGTGCAGGCAAACCATTCTCTGTAGTATTTCTGAGCAATGAAGAGTGTTTGATTCTTACATTCCTCCTAAGCAGCGCAAAAAAGACACATGTATTAATATCTGGGATACTTCTTGAGGTAAGAAAGTTTTACAGTAGGAAAGGTTACAGACCTTGTGTTGGTCACATTATCTGTCATTGTGAGATGATGTCCTAGAAAAGGCAGAATCTTTGTTGTAACTTTAGTCAATTGCATCAGCTTTATGTTATCATGCGGTCATGCGGTCACTGGTTAATCTCACGAAGTGCTGCAGACACAGCCGTCCATCCTAATCCAGCTTTCCCGGGTCAGTCAGCACAGCCACGCACTGTTTCTGAGCCCTAACAGAGTATTGTGATTTGGGGGTTGGTTCTTCTTCTGTCACCTGACAACTGAGGACACAGCAGACGCGGAAGAGGGCCAACAGGGAGACGAGGTCTCAGTGAGTGGTATTTCTGCTTTTCAAGGCATTCTGAGGTAGGAATGGGATTGGCAGACAACAAACCCTCATGAATTAACTAGTTGTAAAGAAAGAGTGCAAAAGGGATGAGTAGAGAAAAACAGGTGATAAAATCAGTGTTCAGGGGTGGGGGCCCTCAACTGCCTTGACACATAAACTCTGCCTTCAGGTCTCTTCACATTGATTTGAATCTGCCATAGCAATAATTTAACCCCCATTTGCTTTTCAATTCTTACTATTTTGTCAATAATTAACATATTTCATCAAATATTGACATGTAGAGATTGGCAAATAATTGAGGATGGCTAAACTTAAAATACTGATCCACATGAAATGGCATGGAATATCTAACATTATAATATTTAGGTATTCATAATTGATGGCCTAGTGAGAGAGTATGTATTAATATAATATGTCATCAATTCCAGAGACAGTCTTAAGTTTTACATGATTTTTTTAAAAAAATCAAGCTAAAATTCTATCAAGATACTACCAGTTATTAGAGGTTATCTATGGAATTCTAATGAGTAGGACAATCCCCTCTCTTCTGTTTTTTTTTTAATTTTTTTTAAAGCTCTAACTTTTATACCTTTTTATTGAAACATAATAAATGTGCATATCTGGGAGGTGCACACAATAATTTGTTACATTCATATAATAAAATCAGGATAACTGGGATATCTTTCACCTCATTCATCTTTTCTTTATGCTAGAAACATTCAAATTTTTCTCTTCCAGGTATTTTGAAATGTACAATCAATTAATGTTAATGGTAGTCATCCTGCTGGTTGATTGAACACCAGGTTTTCTCTTTCCTTTTAACTGTACATTTCTACCCATTAATCAGCCTCTCTCCATCCCCCCAGCTCCCAGTTTTGAATAGCAGTGGTATTATCCTATCTCCTAAATGCACTCAACTTCTCCTTTTTCACAAAAGAAACAAAAAATTATAGCACAAACATTAGGTTATATAATTGTTGTTGCAAAAAAACTCTAACAAACCTATGTCAGGAAATGAAGTTGTAGTTCCCATAGCAACAATGACATGGGCCCTTAGACAAATTTTTCATGTGCTTTGTGTGACTCTAAGAAGTAAGTTCGTTCTTTAACAAGTCATTTAAATGTTCAGCCAAATCACCGTGTCACAACGAACTTCTTTGTCCTCTTGTGTTAATGGGCTCAGCGCTCCCCACCACCCCTGTAATCTGCAGTCATTCATAGGTTTAATGCGGTACTTGGGCAACACCCCACTTTTGAGAGGGCTGTCACACTAAAAGTTAATTACAGCAGTTAATCACAGTTGTAGCAAGTCTCAAAATGCTTTCATATTTGCATTCAGGTTTGCATTTTAAGCAATTAAAATAGCAACAAAAAAAAAATCCCTGAGGTCTTATCGATTATTTTCTGTGATGTTCCTAACCCTTCCATGAATAGCTTTAGGAATCAAACCTCATTATTAAGAAGTTCAAGAAATAGTAAGAAAAAACTTAACGTCATTTAAATAATAGAGAAAACATAAGCAAAAATTTTCAACACAAAGTTTTAACATCTGATGATGCTTATAAATTTGGCACTATCAGGTATACCATCCCGAGCAATATAGTCCTTACTAACAATAAGTATGAAGTTTTAATACAAAAAAAGACTACAAATTCTTAACAGATGCACGACTTACTCTTAAGGGAATAAAGATCAGTCAATAATAAAAACCAAAAAAAGGGGTTATCTATACATATTTTCATGCCTGGGCTGAAACAAAGCTACAAAATGCATTGAAAATCATAAGGTACTATACAACCTCATGGAGAGAAATGTAATTCATTGCCAGATGCTAGTTCCCTTGCACAAAACCCTAGCACAAGCAAATATATCTTGGTATACTTTTTTGATGTCCTCAATAATTGCTACTCTGGTACAGGGGGATTCCTTTGGATCCTTGGAAAAGGAATAAAAAGGGGGTGTGGGGAAGGCGGAAGGACCAAACCTGGCCACAGGGCACCAGCCTTTGGTGAGGCGGCAGGAACAGGTTTGGACATCTGCCAGACACGGCGACTCTGGTTAATGACAATGTGCTGTGAGTTTCCAAATTGCCACAAGAGCCTCCTGCCCTGCAGACTGAGCTAACCAGCATGTGACTAGAGCGGATATTTTCAAAAGGAGCAACGGTAAATGTGGCTGAGGATATGGGTGAAGGGGACTCACGTTCACCACTGACGGGAAGGTAAATTAGTGAAATGCTGTGGAAAACTGTGCAGAGCCTCCCTGAAAAACCAAAGTAGAGCTAGCACAAGACCCAGCAATCCCACTTCTGGGTGTGAGATCACTACGTTGAGATGTCTGTACCACTATGGTCACTGCACAGTCACTACTCACAATGGACAAGATATGGAATCAACCTACGTGTCTGTCAATGGATGAATAAGGAAAACGTGGTGTGTGCACAGTGGAATGCCAGTTGGCTTTAAAAGAAAAAGAAATCCTGTTATTAATGACAATGTGAATGAGCCTGGAAGACATTATGCTGAGTGAAAAAAGCCAGGCACATAAAGACAGATGCCTCATGATCTCACGGATATGTGGAATCTGAAAAAGTGAACCCCATGGAAACAGAGTAGAACAGTGAGGGCCAGGCTGGTAGGTGGGGTTGGCGGGGATGAGGAAAGGGCAGATGTAGGTCAAAGGGTACAAAGTTTAGACTAAGGCTTAGTGATCACTGCATTGCATGGCAAACACAGCTAATAATAATTCAAACATTTCAAAATCTCTAGAATAGAATTTTAATGTTTTCACTAAAAAGAAAAAATGGTAAGTTGGTGAGGTGACAGGTATGTCAGTTAGCTAGCTTGACTCTTTCCCCAGTGTATACATAGATCAAAACATCACACTGTACTCCATAAGTATACAGTGATTATTTGTCAATTTAAAATAAAATATAAATTTATAATTAAATTTTAAAAATAAAATATAAAAAAGGAATGCAGGCAAGACTGGAAGACTATGCAATGAACTCTGCAAATGACACAGAGAAATGTGGCCCTGCTACAGATATTCCCTGTTAGTGTCTGCTTGAGAGAAGGCAAAGATTTGGATGGCTAACAGTGGTAGAAGAAAGTTCTAGAAACCAGAAAACATTAAGTCACTACCACCTTCTCAGAAAATAATGCTATTAGGCTAGGCATGGTGGCTTATGCCTGTAATCCCCACACTTTGGGAGACTGAGGTGGGAAGATCACTTGAGCCCAGGAGGCAGACGCTGCAGTGAACTATGATGGCACCACTGCACTCCAGCCTGGGCGACAGAGCAAGACCCTGTCTGAAAAAAAAAAAAAAGAAAGAAAGAAGGGAAAAGAAAAGAAGAGAAAAGCATGCTCTGGACTGAACTGTGTTGAGCCCCCAGTGTAGGTGCATTTGGAATAAAGAAGTGATTCACAGGGGAGGAGCCAAGATGGCCGAATAGGAACAGCTCCAGTCTACAGCTCCCAGCATGAGCAAGGCAGAAGACGGGTGATTTCTGCATTTCCATCTGAGGTACCAGGTTCATCTCACTAGGGAGGGCCAGAGAGTGGGCACAGGTCAGTGGGTGCGCGCACCATGCGCGAGCCGAAGCAGGGCGAGGCATTGCCTCACTCGGGAAGCGCAAGGCGTCAGGGAGTTCCCTTTCCTAGTCAAAGAAAGGGGTGACGGACGGCACCTGGAAAATCGGGTCACTCCCACCCGCATACTGCGCTTTTCTGACGGGCTTGAAAAAAGGCACACCACAAGATTATATCCTGCACCTGGCTCAGAGGGTCCTACCCCACGGAGTCTCGCTGATTGCTAGCACAGCAGTCTGAGATCAAACTGCAAGGTGGCAGCGAGGCTGGGGGAGGGGCGCCCACCATTGCCCAGGCTTGCTTAGGTAAACAAAGCAGCCGGGAAGCTCGAACTGGGTGGAGCCCACCACAGCTCAAGGAGGCCTGCCTGCCTCTGTAGGCTCCACTTCTGGGGGCAGGGCACAAACAAACAAAAAGACAGCAGTAACCTCTGCAGACTTAAATGTCCCTGTCTGACAGCTTTGAAGAGAGCAGTGGTTCTCCCAGTACGCAGCTGGAGATCTGAGAAGGGGCAGACTGCCTCCTCAAGTGGGTGCCTGACCCCTGACCCCTGAGCAGCCTAACTGGGAGGCACCCCCCAACAGGGGTACACTGACACAGGGCAGGGTACTCCAAAAGACCTGCAGCTGAGGGTCCTGTCCGTTAGGAGGAAAACTAACAAACAGAAAGGACATCCACACTGAAAACCCA
Source organism: Homo sapiens (assembly GCF_000001405.40). NCBI lineage: Eukaryota > Metazoa > Chordata > Mammalia > Primates > Hominidae > Homo > Homo sapiens. The sequence goes on along the minus strand of NT_187572.1, from coordinate 60,105 downwards.
TCTGTATATCACCATCATCAAAGACCAAAAGTAGATAAAACCACAAAGATGGGGAAAAAACAGAAGAGAAAAACTGGAAACTCTAAAAAGCAGAGCGCCTCTCCTCCTCCAACGGAACGCAGTTCCTCACCAGCAACGGAACAAAGCTGGACGGAGAATGACTTTGACGAGCTGAGAGAAGAAGGCTTCAGACGATCAAATTACTCTGAGCTACGAGAGGACACGCAAACCAAAGGTAAAGAAGTTGAAAACTTTGAAAAAAATTTAGAAGAATGTATAACTAGAATAACCAATACAGAGAAGTGCTTAAAGGAGCTGATGGAGCTGAAAACCAAGGCTCAAGAACTACGTGAAGAATGCAGAAGCCTCAGGAGCCGATGCGATCAACTGGAAGAAAGGGTATCAGCGGTGGAAGATGAAATGAAAGAAATGAAACGAGAAGGGAAGTTCAGAGAAGAATAAAAAGAAATGAGCAAAGCCTCCAAGAAATATGGGACTACGTGAAAAGACCAAATCTACGTCTGATTGGTGTACCTGAAAGTGATGGGGAGAATGGAACCAAGTTGGAAAACACTCTGCAGGATATTACTCAGGAGAACTTCCCCAATCTAGCAAGGCAGGCCGACGTTCAGATTCAGGAAACACAGAGACGCCACAAAGATACTCCTCGAGAAGAGCAACTCCAAGACACATAACTGTCAGATTCACCAAAGTCAAAACGAAGGAAAAAATGTTAAGGGCAGCCAGAGAGAAAGGTCGGGTTACCCTCAAAGGGAAGCCCATCAGACTAACAGCGGATCTCTCGGCAGAAACCCTACAAGCCAGAAGAGAGTGGGGGCCAATATTCAACATTCTCAAAGAAAAGAATTTTCAACCCAGAATTTCATATCCAGCCAAACTAAGCTTCCTAAGTGAAGGAGAAATAAAATACTTTACAGACAAGCAAATGCTGAGAGATTTTGTCACCACCAGGCCTGCCCTAAAAGAGCTCCTGAAGGAAGCGCTAAACATGGAAAGGAACAACTGGTACCAGCCACTGCAAAATCATGCCAAAATGTAAAGACCATCGAGACTAGGAAGAAACTGCATCAACTAACGAGCAAAATAAACAGCTAACATCATGATGACAGGATCAAATTCACACATAACAATATTAACTTTAAATGTAAATGGACTAAATGCTCCAATTAAAAGACACAGACTGGCAAATTGGATAAAGAGTCAAGACCCATCAGTGTGCTGTATTCAGGAAACCCATCTCACGTGCAGAGACACACATAGGCTCAAAATAAAAGGATGGAGGAAGATCTACCAAGCAAATGGAAAACAAAAAAAGGCAGGGGTTGCAATCCTAGTCTCTGATAAAGCAGACTTGAAACAAACAAAGATCAAAAGAGACAAAGAAGGCCATTACATAATGGTAAAGGGATCAATTCAACAAGAAGAGCTAACTATCCTAAATATATATGCACCCAATACAGGAGCACCAAGATTCATAAAGCAAGTCCTGAGTGACCTACAAAGAGACTTAGACTCCCACATATTAATAATGGGAGATTTTAACACCCCACTGTCAACATTAGACAGATCAACGAGACAGAAAGTCAACAAGGATACCCAGGAATTGAACTCAGCTCTGCAACAAGTGGACCTAATAGACATCTACAGAACTCTCCACCCCAAATCAACAGAATATACATTTTTTTCAGCACCACACCACACCTATTCCAAAACTGACCACATACTTGGAAGTAAAGCTCTCCTCAGCACATGTAAAAGAACAGAAATTATAAGAAACTATCTCTCAGACCACAGTGCAATCAAACTAGAAGTCAGGATTAAGAATCTCACTCAAAACCGCTCAGCTACATGGAAACTGAACAACCTGCTCCTGAAGGACTACTGGGTACATAACGAAATGAAGGCAGAAATAAAGATGTTCTTTGAAACCAAGAGAACAAAGACAAAACATACCAGAATCTCTGGGACGCATTCAAAGCAGTGTGTAGAGGTAAATTTATAGCACTAAATGCCCACAAGAGAAAGCAGGAAAGATCCAAAATTGACACCCTAACATCACAATTCAAAGAACTAGAAAAGCAAGAGCAAACACATTCAAAAGCTAGCAGAAGGCAAGAAATAACTAAAATCAGAGCAGAACTGAAGGAAATAGAGACACAAAAAACCCTTCAAAAAATTAATGAATCCAGGAGCTGGTTTCTTGAAAGGATCAACAAAATTGATAGACCGCTAGCAAGACTAATAAAGAAAAAAAGAGAGAAGAATCAAATAGACGCAATAAAAAATGATAAAGGGGATATCACCACCAATCCCACAGAAATACAAACTACCATCAGAGAATACTACAAACACCTCTATGCAAATAAACTAGAAAATCTAGAAGAAATGGATAAATTCCTCAACACATACACTCTCCCAAGACTAAACCAGGAAGAAGCTGAATCTCTGAATAGACCAATAACAGGATCTGAAATTGTGGCAATAATCAATAGCTTACCAACCAAAAAGAGTCCAGGACCAGACGGATTCACAGCCGAATTCTACCAGAGGTACAAGGAGGAACTGGTACCATTCCTTCTGAAACTATTCCAATCAATAGAAAAAGAGGGAATCCTCCCTAACTCATTTTATGAGGCCAGCATCATTCTGATACCAAAGCCTGGCAGAGACACAACCAAAAAAGAGAATTTTAGACCAATATCCTTGATGAACATTGATGCAAAAATCCTCAATAAAATACTGGCAAAACGAATCCAGCAGCACATCAAAAAGCTTATCCACCATGATCAAGTGGGCTTCATCCCTGGGATGCAAGGCTGGTTCAATATACGCAAATCAATAAATGTAATCCAGCATATAAACAGAACCAAAGACAAAAACCACATGATTATCTTAATAGATGCAGAAAAGGCCTTTGACAAAATTCAACAACGCTTCATGCTAAAAACTCTCAATAAATTAGGTATTGATGGGACGTATCTCAAAATAATAAGAGCTATCTATGACAAACCCACAGCCAATATCATACTGAATGGGCAAAAACTGGAAGCATTCCCTTTGAAAACTGGCACAAGACAGGGATGCCCTCTCTCACCACTCCTATTCAACACAGTGTTGGAAGTTCTGGCCAGGGCAATTAGGCAGGAGAAGGAAATAAAGGGTATTCAATTAGGAAAAGAGGAAGTCAAATTGTCCCTCTTTGCAGACGACATCATTGTATATCTAGAAAACCCCATTGTCTCAGCCCAAAATCTCCTTAAGCTGATAAGCAACTTCAGCAAAGTCTCAGGATACAAAATCAATGTACAAAAATCACAAGCATTCTTATACACCAATAACAGACAAACACAGAGCCAAATCATGAGTGAACTCCCATTCACAATTGCTTCAAAGAGAATAAAATACCTAGGAATCCAACTTACAAGGGACGAGAAGGACCTCTTCGAGGAGAACTACAAACCACTGCTCAAAGAAATAAAAGAGGATACAAACAAATGGAAGAACATTCCATGCTCATGGGTAGGAAGAATCAATATCGTGAAAATGGCCATACTGCCCAAGGTAATTTACAGATTCAATGCCATCCCCATCAAGCTACCAATGCCTTTCTTCACAGAATTGGAAAAAACTACTTTAAAGTTCATATGGAACCAAAAAAGAGCCCGCATCGCCAAGTCAATCCTAAGCCAAAAGAACAAAGCTGGAGGCATCACACTACCTGACTTCAAACTATACTACAAGGCTACAGTAACCAAAACAGCATGGTACTGCTACCAAAACAGAGATATAGATCAATGGAACAGAACAGAGCCCTCAGAAATAATGCCGCACATCTACAACTATCTGATCTTTGACAAACCTGAGAAAAACAAGCAATGGGGAAAGGATTCCCTATTTAATAAATGGTGCTGGGAAAACTGGCTAGCCATATGTAGAAAGCTGAAACTGGATCCCTTCCTTACACCTTATACAAAAATCAATTCAAGATGGATTAAAGACTTAAACGTTAGACCTAAAACCATAAAAACCCTAGAAGAAAACCTAGGCATTGCCATTCAGGACATAGGCATAGGCAAGGACTTCATGTCTAAAACGCCAAAAGCAATGGCAACAAAAGCCAAAATTGACAAATGGGATCTAATTAAACTAAAGAGCTTCTGCACAGCAAAAGAAACTACCATCAGAGTGAACAGGCAACTCACAAAATGGGAGAAAATTTTCGCAACCTACTCGTCTGACAAAGGGCTAATATCCAGAATCTACAATGAACTCAAACAAATTTACAAGAAAAAAACAAACAACCTCATCAAAAAGTAGGTGAAGGACATGAACAGACACTTCTCAAAAGAAGACATTTATGCAGCCAAAAAACACATGAAAAAATGCTCATCGTCACTGGCCATCAGAGAAATGCAAATCAAAACCACAATGAGACACCATCTCACACCAGTTAGAATGGCAATCATTAAAAAGTGAGGAAACAACAGGTGCTGGAGAGGATGTGGAGAAATAGGAACACTTTTACACTGTTAGTGGGACTGTAAACTAGTTCAACCATTGTGGAAGTCAGTGTGGCGATTCCTCTGGGATCTAGAACTAGAAATACCATTTGACCCAGCCATCCCATTACTGGGTATATACCCAAAGGACTATAAATCATGCTGCTATAAAGACACATGCACATGTATGTTTATTGTGGTATTATTCACAATAGCAAAGCCTTGGAACCAACCCAAATGTCCAACAATGATAGACTGGATTAAGAAAATGTGGCATATATACACCATGGAATACTATGCAGCCATAAAAAATGATGAGTTCATGTCCTTTGTAGGGACATGGATGAAATTGGAAATCATCATTCTCAGTAAACTATCGCAAGAACAAAAAACCAAACACCGCATATTCTCACTCATAGGTGGGAATTGAACAATGAGATCACATGGACACAGGAAGGGGAATATCACACTCTGGGGACTGTTGTGGAGTGGGGGGAGGGGGGAGGGATAGCACTGGGCGATATACCTAATGCTAGATGACGAGTTAGTGAGTGCAGCGCACCAGCATGGCACATGTATACATATGTAACTAACCTGCACAATGTGCACATGTACCCTAAAACTTAAAGTATAATAATAAAAGGAAAATAAACTTAAAAAAAAAAAAAGAAGTGATTAAGGTAAAATGAGATTATGAGGATGGGGCCCTGATCCAATAGGATTAGTGCCCTTGTAAAGACACCAGAGACCATGTGAAAACACTGTGAGAAATCAGCTGTCTGCCCACCAAAGAAAGAGGCCTTTGCAGAAACCAGCCCTGCTGACGCATTGACTGGGGATTCACAGCCTCCAGAGCTGTGAGAAGATGAGTTTCTGCTGTTCAGGCCTCCCAGGCTCCAGGGCTTGGTTACAGCAGCCAAGCAGCTCAACAGATCTGTCAGCAATGGCCTGGGCACTCCTCCACCCAGCATAAACAAGTGTGTCCATGCCATCCTACTGTTACAGAGAACAATCTGGAAGGTCCTGCATGGAGTGTGTGTGCTGATGGCTCAATGCATCTGGGGTGCATTCCATGTACTCTAGCTCTAACACCACCACCCAGAGGAATTAGGAAGCTCTGCCTACACATACACACAAAACCCTCTGATGTACACCGTTCAGCGGAAGAAGTGATTTGCAGAGCACTTAATTCCATGCATGCCACAAGAAGCCATGTGTGGCACTGTGCTGGAGCCAGGGCGCCATGACCCCACATCCCTCTCAAACACCTGTAACGTTGCCTGTCCAGTCGAGATGGGCTGCAAGTGTCTCAAATACTTTTCAGAGTTTGAAGACTTAGTACCAAAGAAAAGACAGTAAAATACTCTATTAAGGCAGTGTGCAGTGGCTCATGCCTGTAGTCCCAGCACTTTGGGAGGCCGAGGCAGGCAGACCACCTGAGGCGAGGAGTTTGAGACAAGCCTGGCCAACATGGTGAAACCCCGTCTCTACTAAAAATACAAAAATTAGCCAGACACGGTGGTGTGTGCCTGTAGTCCCAGCTACTCAGGAGGTTGCAGCTGGGGCATCACTTGAACCTGGGAGGCGGAGCTTGCAGTGAGCAGAGATCATGCCACTGCACTCCAGCCTCGGCAACAGAGCAAGACTCTGTCTCAAAAAAAATTATTAATATTAATATAATGATTATGAGATGACATTTTAAACACGATGGTTTAAATAATATATTATTAAACATGATTTTGCCTGTTTTTACTTTTTCAATATGGCTACTAGAAAATTTAAAATTACAGATGAGGCTGGGCACAGTGGCTGATGCCTGTAATCCCTGCACTTTGGGAGGCTGAGGCAGGAGAATCGCTTCAGCCCAGGAGGTCAAGAGCAGCCTGGGCAACAGAGCAAGACCTTGTCTCTACAAAAAATAGAAAATTAGCCAGGCATAGTGGTGCATGCCTTAGTCCCAGCTACTCGAGAGGCTGAGGCAAGAGGATCGCTTGAGTCCAGGAGTTGGAGGCTATAGTGAGCTATGATGGTGCCACTGCACTCCAGCCTGGAGACAGAGAGAGAACCTGTCTCTAAAAAAATAAAATGAAATAAAATTGCAGATGAGCCTAGAATTCTGTCCCCACCAGACACAATCAGTTTAGAAGGACACGCTCCACACTGCCCTTTCCATTGTTTATTCTATATGTGCCACTTCAATTTTTATGGTTAGTGTAAATTACTTCCATAACTTTTTAAACAAAGTCATTTTAAAATAAAGGAGCTTCTGAGGATAAATATTTTCACCTAACAGTGGGGCAGAGCCCCAGAGGCCACGTCGTGTTCAATGCGTCTCTGGGTAGCAAGGTAGGGGTTGCCACTCTCGTGACCATTACTCTTAACTAAACCACCTGGGTTGGACTAGTACAGACAGCCTTTTAATTTGGAACTGAAAGTTGCCCTGGCAATCCACAAATTTTGGGTGTGAAACAATTAAGTAGCAAGTACTTAGTGACAGAGCTAGCCGGCCTGCCTTAGACCCGGCTAGTGCAGGCCCAGGATTTTGGATAAAGAGGATAAAACCCTTTTAGGAAAATCAAAATGTGTTTCTGAAAGTGTTTTTCTCTACTTAATAAGGGAGATCTACCTAATAACTCTATGAAACGTATTTAAATCTAAGCATTCACAGAGGTCCCTCGATCCTTTTACAAAATGCCTCTGCACAGCACGTTTGCATTAAAACTCATATCTCTTAGTTTTGAGCATTTGCACAAAATTCTTAAGGACATTTGCAAGTAGATGTGGACAGAAAGTAGCAATATGCATGATTAAGTGTTTAGAGTTTATGGAAATGTTAGCAATCACTGACATAAATTAGGTAATTTTACAATCACTACTTGATTCTGACCCCAGCACAGGAGGACCAAGGGACCTGTCACAACTTCACGAAATGGAGAAATGGAGCTGGAAGGCACCTGTCTGGAGAATAGGACACTCACACTTCCAAAATCATCATAAAAACATCTAGCAGTAATATTTTAAAGACCCCTGTTTACACTAAGAAGACCACATCAACCTGCCCTACAGAAAAGTGAAAAATTTTTTCCATCCCTAAGAGTCCTTCTACTTTAAAAAAAAAAAAGAGGCATAATTTCTAAACCAAAATTAGGTTTATGAGTTAAATGTCATTCATGTCTTATCAAGGACAACAGAAATACAGGTCAGTATATAACTGTGTGATGCCTGCCCCAGGATTTTACAGCTCAGGGGCTCACAATGCAAGCATAACCCCCTGAACCTGTTCCACAGCCGGCCCAGCAATCACATCCCACAGCCAGAAGCAGGAGGTCAGCACGAAGGAGAGACGCCACCGAATCTTCCTCGGCCAAACAGGACAGAGGTGCATGCTTAGAAATTGTTCGGAGCCCACAGAAACTGCCAAGGAGACACCAAGTGAATTACAGAAATCAGCTGAGAGGAGGCGGGGGATTGGCAGCCCTGTAAAGCTGAGGAACATATGGCTTCCTGCAGTGAACAACATGTATCTTCAGTCTCAAAATTCAATTTCTATAAGAAAAAAAGTCTTTGGTCATCAGTCAGAAAGTCTTAAGTCACAGACAAACTGGCATAGCATGGACCTGTGATTAAATAACCCAGAAGGGCACTGTGCTCCCCAGGGTGGGAGGCGGAGGACACGGAGGAGGAGCAAGGCCTCCCTCACACCTCCATCCTCCCTCTGAGCCACGCACGCCACGCACGCACTCTCCCTCACCCCTGACGAGATGAGCATTCCGCAGCCCCTCACTAACTCCACAACTCCAGGCAAATTGTAGCAACACTGTGCTGTGCAAATGAATCTGAATAAATAGGGATAATGTATGTTTCTTCTTTATAAAAACGTACAAAACCTGTGATAAGATCATCTAGAAAATGTCTTGAAGGTATGGTAGGAAAACGATGCATGCATGTAAGTTCTTACTATTATTCGTACTTAAAGCTATCTCTCCCTCAATGTTTCATAATTGTGAACAGGAAGAAAACCCTCCTGTGTAGAGCTGCACAAGTGACTCTGGGGTCGGCATGACCCCCGCAGCTGCTGAAGCCAGTCAGCTCAGCCGTGGTCCATTTTCATGGCTTCTGACTCCATCTTTCATGTTTTCCGTAACATGTCCGTGGAGGCTGCTCTAGGGGCCTGTGGATGCATACAATGTGGCTTCTGTTCCCATTGAGTTGTCATTTTTAATGGGAAGAATCCCAGGGAACGCAAGAGGCTCGTGTCCCTAGGAGGAAGGGGAGTAGAAATGAGTGTCTCTGTTGCCCCTAACCCAAGCTACCGTCTAGGATGTGCAAACACATAAGCATCACCTGAGCCACTCAAATCCCAACACGTCACCACAGATGTCTGTAACTCATCAAAATTTTGAATCAATAAATTAGCCCAGTTTACTTCTCTGTTCCTTCCCAAACTTTCTGAAAGATTTCTCATGATTTTTTAAAAAGGAGCAACACTAAAAGGGAAAATTACATGGGGATTCTCTATTGTTTCATTTTTCTAAATAGTTTGTCCCTTTTTCCTGTATTCGGGGTTAATGGCTATGCTTCCTGTCTGCCGCCGTTTTGCTTGTTATGGGGCATCCCACTTCACAACTGACCACACTGACAATCACCTTTAAACAAGTTCTTGTTAGCGTTTTTCTGCTGGATATCCAAGTGGAAACTCAAGAGAACAATACTTCTTCCCTGCTGAGACCCAAGACTGCAAGCACTCCATGTGCCTTCATGTCTTAGTCTCTTAACTTTCAGATTGCCCCTCGGGATGAAATGCTTCTGTTTATCATTATTTATTAACCTCAAAAGGTTTCTGAGCTGATTTTCTTTCTCTAGAGATCCGAGCTGCTCACACTCACTATTGCTAGTCTGACAGACCACCTGCTTGTGCGGGACCACACCTGACCATGCACGCACTGTCTCACCTAATACTCGAAACAATCCCTTGGTGTCACCCACCTCTGGGAAGCTGCAGCCATGAGGGATAAGGATATGCCCCCTCACACAGGCTGCGGACGCCCAAGGTTCAGACCAGAGCCAGCCTCCTGTGAGGCCAGCGTCCTCAGCCCCACACAGACTGCGTTCTCCTGACCCCAGACACATGAAATGATGTAAGTAGCCAATGAATTTCATATTTTTAAAGCATGCCAATTTTAAATGTTAGGTTTTCCGATGGAAGCGCACCATTTTTAAGTGTTTTTTGATGCTGGAGTGCACCAGGAGGTGTGGGCTCAATCAGAGTCAAGACCAAGATTATCAGCGCCATCTGTAATCCCAGCACTTTGGGAGGCCGAGGCGGGCAGATCATGAGGTCAGGAGGTCAAGACCATCCTGGCTAACATGGTGAAACCCCATCTCTACTAAAAATACAAAAAATTAGCCGGGCATGGTGGCAAGCGCCTGTAGTCCCAGGTACTCGGGAGGCTGAGGCAGGAGAATCACTTGAACCCAGGAGGTGGAGGTTGCAGTGAGCCAAGATCACACCACTGCACTCCAGCCTGGGAGACAGAGCAAGATTCATGTCAGAAAAAAAAAAAAAAAAAAAAAAATCAACGCCTTCCCTCCTGGTTCATGCTGAAGTCCATACAAGCCCACAGCGAAAAGCTTAACTGAAATAACAGTTATTTGAGTAATTTGTCTGAGTGACTGTATAGTAAATAACCACAACACTACTCTTAGAAGTGGTTCAGGAATAAGGAGGAGATGCTAACAAAAGGCAGGGCTCAGCTACCACATGCCTGTCTGACCAGCATGTGGCAGTGCCTCCCCGGCCTCCCTCAGACGCTGCAGTGAACGGGCTCCAGCTTGCTTTTTATTTCAAACCCAACTGGACAATGAGTGAGGGGACCTGTATCTCCCTGTCCTCTGATTACACTCCCAAAGCCCACGGGAAGTGGGGAAAACACTAGAGAGCTGAAAGAGAATGCACATCTTCCTTCACTCCACCATGTCCCTCTAAATTATACATCAGAGAAGTGTTGCTTTTCTGAGTTAATGTCTTTGGTTACTTCTTACATTGTAAAAAACAGCTTAAATGTCCATCTCAAGAGATTATTGTGTCATCACTGGCACAAATGAAGCCCTCTACTGCAAGAAACTTCTCCCTGAGGGTCAAGTTTACTGAATTTGATAAAAACCTTGCTATCAGTTGCTAATTCTAAACCACTTACCAAGAGTGCTCACCCCAAAGCTCTGCTGCAGCTGCAGATAGCAGCCTGTGTCTCAAATATTCTCACTACCTCCGTAGAAATATAATGTCTCAACCCTAAAGATTGATGCACAAACTCCTTGTACCTTAAACAATTAAACAGCCGTCCTGGCGTGGTGGCTCGTACCTGTAATCCCAGCACTTTGGGAGGCCAAGGCACGTGGATCACGAGGTCAGGAGTTCGAGACCAGCCTGGCCAACATGGTGAAACCCCGTCTCTACTAAAAATACAAAAATTAGCCGGGCAGGGTGCCAGGTGCCTCTAATCCCAGCTACCCACTGAGGCACGAGAATCGCTTGAACCTGGGAGGCAGAGCTTGCAGTGAGCCAAGACCGAGTCAAGATGGCACCATTGCACTCCAGAATGGGCGACAGACCGAAACTCTGTCTCAAAAAAAAAAAAAAAAAAAACAGTCAACAGCCAGTAGCCAGCAACACCTGTACCTGTGCCTTTGGGCATCCTTGAACTGCTTGACTTCCTCCCACAACTGTGGCTCACCAGGCTGGTGTTCCTGTGTTTTTATTTCCTTGCTAGCAAGAGTGGAAGGTCCATCATGCAGGACCACAAGGATCCAGGAAGAAGCGGAGCCGTGGATGTGGCCCCAGCAGAAACACACGGCTCATAACCAGGACACCAACCTCAAAAGAGGAGATGCACCCCGGGGATGGCACCCTGGATCTAACTTCCTTTCCTAGAAGTTACAGTGCTTGAGGATCTTCGTCATCCAGAATCTCAGAGCCTGGCTTTCCCATCTCATGGGCGCCTGACGCCAGTGCACCGCAGGAGGAGGAAGCTGTGCTCCTGCTGAGTCATGGCCTTGGATGTCCCCTCACTGTTGCCCACCCGGGTCTTCACATGTTACAAGTCTAGGCCGCCCATCCACCCAAGGAACTAGAAAACACAGCCCAAGAATAAGCAGCTCTTAGACCACTTTTGGCCGAGCCTCAGGATGGACACAGTGTCCATCTGGACTGCATCTGCTAAACTGTCTGACGCTGGCAGTGTTGACAGGACAGCTTAGTTCTTTGGTGATTGACTCTGGTAAAACAAAAGCTGCTTTTCAAAGAATGAAAACCATCCTCTGTGAGACTGCACGGTGCCCACTGGTCAACGGACATGATCACTCCAAGTATCATGCATGTGCGTGCTTGCCCAGAGAGAAATGCTGGTGGAATGAGATCTGGCTCTCACTCCGACAGCCAATAACGCCGGACACATTGATAAAGGCAGAGGCACCAGCTGTAATTCATCTATATCACAATATATTTGCTGCACTAATTTGGGTCACCCCAGAGTTCAATTCCGGAGGACATTAGAAAGATTTATGTGACGAATTTCAAAGAACGCTGCAGCTCACATAGAGGAAGGATGGCCTCCAGCATAGGTGTGACTTGAACACACACGAGGGTTGACCAACAAGGGGTGTGCAGCCACACCGCAGGGTGACGAGCTGACTGGGAAAGGGTTTGGGGCAGATGTTATGTACCCCACACCTAGGGTGTGTGTGCATATGTGCACGTATGTGCAGCTGTGTGTGATTGCATGTATGTGAGTTGTGTGGATTGGTTTTGTTTCTTGTTTTTTGTTTTTTTGAGACAGAGTCTCGCTCTGTCACTCAGGCTGGAGTGTAATGGCACAATCTCGACTCACTACAACCTCCGCTTCCCGGGTTCAAGCAATTCTCCTGCCTCAGCCTCCCAAGTAGCTGAGATTACAGGTACATGCCACCACGCCCAGCTGATTTTTGTATTTTTAGTAGAGACTGGGTTTCACCATTTTGGTCAGACTGGTCTCGAATTCCCGACCTTGTGATGTGTCTGCATCAGCCTCCCAAAGTACTGGGATTACAGGCGTGAGCCACCGCACCCGGCCATATGTGGGTATGTTTGTGTGCACCTGTGTGTGGTTGCATGTGTGTGGGGGTGTGTTTGTGCATTTGTGTGTGCATCATCGCGTGTGTGTGTGTCTGTGTACATGCATGTGTGTACACACATGTGCCACAGTGGGAAAGACAGACATCAAGGACGGCAGAGCAACGAGGTGAAGGCACCATGTTGCTGACCATAGAGGAAACTCCATAGAGTCTTAGAGGTCCCAAACGTGACCCTTGTTTATATTATACAAAAATTAATTTTTTCCCTAGGGTCACTGTTGTTTCAGGACCATTTTGGGGTGCTGTTTTCAATATAAACTGGACTGACATTTGCCTGCCCCAAGGGCTGCTGTATTCCAATGTCATTTGAGTCAGGTCAAATGCCACGTATCTGGCAATTAATAATTATTTTGGTTCCAGCACAAGTCAACAAAAATGATCTCCACCAACATATGGCACTAACACTGTTAGACTCCTGACAAAGAATTTGTTGTTTTCTATCCACCGCATAACAGGTTTAAGGATATTATTAAAAAACTACCTGCACACTAAAGAAAAAAAATATTTTACCAAATACAGTATTTAACATTGATACATTATCAGATCATTTTACCCCTAGAACAGCCCTTGAAAATCTTATAGCTCATATTAGGGTTTTTTTGTAATAAAGTTATCTTTTAAATAAACTCATATGGAAAAACTCCAATATAAAAACAGATAACAGCAGAGAAACTCATCCTGAAACCTGGGCGTGGAGACGGGCACCCCACCCACTGTAGCTGCCCCATTTCCTCAAGTCCCTTTCTGCAATACTCCAATTTTACTAAATACGTTCTAAATGCCAATTCAAACTTTTCAATAAAATTTGCTCACTACCACTAGTCACTGTCAATTTATATCAGTAACAGCCACAAGCTTTATTGAATCTATTCTGGTTGCTGAGGAATCATTCATTTTTCTCCTTGAATCTTCATTTTGCTTTGAGTAGGTTAGATATGAAACATCTGGATTTATAGGTAAATTTTGGTACAAATTTTTTTAAAGTTCTGTGGCTAGTATTTAGAATAGACTGCTTTTTTGCTTAGGTCACAGTTATACCTATGAGAGAACCTGCAAGTTATGAGCCCCTTACACAACAGCTTAGAAGACGGCACAAGTCATTCCTCTACTACAACCACAAGGTGTGTGATGGGGCCAGTTTTATGGTACTTACGGTAGAGGTTACTGATGTATCTAATTAGAAAAATAACTGATCAATAACATGAGGGTGATTTTTTATTACCTAACAATAAAACTGAGAAGAGCTTGGACTCGGGTGACAAGGCTAGACCACAAAATCAGCCACAGAGTCTGTGGGCTCCACCACAGGTATTTCCTACTTGTTATCCTGTCAGAAGACACATTGATGGGTTTTAAAAGAAAATGATAGTTCTTTTTTAAACAGCGAAGTGACAAAGTATATAATAGGCGTTTATGTAAGTTTTGATCTCATTTCTTCTCTCGGATGGATGGAGTAGTTCATAGGAAGTGAGAAAATTACCGAGTAAAGGTTTAAAAAGATTTGTGATAGAAGCAATTTCTCTAGATGGAAACTTGAATAAAAATGTTGTACCCCACACTTCCTCACCTCTGGGTAGTGAGAAGCCTTCCAGTCTAAATCCACGCCTGTGACTCTTCATTGCCAAAATGAGGCAGGATGAGTGGCAGCTGCGGCACGGTGCTGAGCCCTGGCCCAATTCAGACAGCATGTCATGCCTTCAGGAGGGAGAGGCATGACTCAGTACCTCGCCAGTCTATTTAAACCACAAAAACTAAATGTGGTTACAGGTTAGGAAGTCTTAAGACATACACACCCTATTGGAACAAACTAGACTCTTAAAAATGAAAATTTCCAATTAAAAGCCGGAAGCTCAGCCAAACACAGTAAAGGCCCTGGCCCTCCAAACACCAATTGGTTTCACTTTATGAGGCCGTCACTTTCTGTTTAATTCTAAATACTGTTTTAAATAAGGAAATCATCAGCTATGAGTCAAGACTGCAGTTAGAAGGATTTTCTATTTCATCGTTTGCCTCATTCTTTTCATTTTTTTTAAATTCTACCACCAAGTATCGGGTTTTCCACACCTCATGTGTGTTCAGTGCCTTGCACTCAGGACACACGTATTGTCTTTGAGACGAAGGACACACCGAGTCCCCGGTGAGGTGTGCTGCCCTCTCCTCAGCCAGCACTGCCTCTCTGGGTCGCCACCGACCACCACCATCTGCTCACCTGCCTAACGTCTGCCACTCATCATGTGTTTCCATCATAAATTGTCACTCCAACTCTCTTATTCTCAACAGACCCTTTCGAGCAAATTCTATGAGGAATGGTCTTAGAAGTGCGAATTATGGAACAAAATCCCATTCAAGATGCCATTGATAAGTTCTCCTCCTTTAACAACTTCTAACAGCAGAAGAGCACGGCAGCAACAGTGAAGCTCCCCCTTCAGATTCAAGCAGTTTTTCTGATAACCATGGAGGGCTCTTTATCTTGATATGCAAGAAGATGAGTGACAACAGTAACAGTGATCTTCACTTCAATACGATGTGCGTCCTTAACAAGCAACCTTCTCAATAAATACAGCAGTAGCACGCGAAGGGAAGTGCGGGTTAACCCCAGTCCTCATCCCGGCTGCGCTGCTGATAGTCCATGTCTCCACAACGCCGTGCTCCTTCCAGGGCACGGTCAGCCTGGGCTCAGCTTCGTCCCTGCACTCCTAAACCCACCAGATTTCTGGATTCCAGATTCCCTAAACTAGTCGTCTTCCCTTTTTTTTTTTCTCCAATCCCTCTTTGAATAACTCGTGAAGTATTGCAAGTGACTTAATTCCTACTCCACTGTCATTACTGGACATTTAAATAAAACCGTCAGCTGGGCGCAGTGGCTCACGCCTGTAATCCCAGCACTTTGGGAGGCCGAGGTGAGTGACTGCTTGAGCCCAGGAGTAGGAGACCAGCCTGAGCAATATGGTGAAACTCTGTATCTACAAAAAATTCAAAAGCTAGCCTGGTGTAGTGGTGTGTACCTGTGATCCCAGTTACTCCGGAGGCTGACGGGGAGGATCACTGCAGCCCAGGAGGGTGAGGCTGCAGTGAGCTGTGATTGTGGTGACTGTGCCACCGCACTCCAGCCTGGGCTAGAGTGAGACCCTGTCTCCTTCAATCAATCAACCAAACTGTCACCTTCTTCCTTTAAATGTATTCAGTGGACCTCAAGAGTCATACTCACTGGGTGGCTGCCGTGGTAGGGCTGCCCAGGTGGCAAGCAGAAGAGCTCTGCAAAGCAGGGGGTGACCCCTGGGAGTCAGCAAAGTGGCGACTCGGAATGGTTTCTCTTAAATACGTGAACAAATTTGACACTGTTACTTTTACTCTGTTTCACCTCTTAATTCCACTCCATTTGAGCCAAAGATTTCATCCCAAAATAACCTATTACATGCTTGAAAGTTCTCATCCATCATGTTATACTTCTCTGCAACAAAGACGTATATGCAAATACAATTTACATTTTAAAACACCCTGTGACCATGAGGTCCCAAGAGTTTGACAAAGATATTCCATATCGTTGGTAATAAGTTGCACATAAAAAGTAAACTGCTACCACTTCATGGTAAGAGTGGGCTTTTTCTCCCACGGATGAATATTAGTTTCTGTTGGACTAATTGGGCCAAGCATTACTTCTAGGATTATGTTTTGTTTTTCTAGACGTGAGCATGAGAAACTTTGCTCACAAAGAGACACACAGGAGTTCTGTGACAGTTACATAGCACAGCCTTTGACTGCCTGGAAGATATACGCCAAAACCCACAGCGACCTATCATCGTAAATATTCTGGATGCTGCACCCGAGGCGGGTTCATCAGTTCCTCCTCGGGTTTTCTTAAAAACAAGCGAAAATCTCCTGCTTCAGAAGCATCCTCATCCAGCCTTCAGGGGCGTTCACTTTCTCAGTCTTGAGGCCAACGTTTCCCCATCCCCTCTCCAGGGCCTCCTCCGCAGGGTGTCGCACGCCAGGCTGGACAGCTGGTGCAAGAAGCTAGCCCGGGACAGAGGGGTGAGGACAGCGCGACCTCAGGCTCTTCCTCAGGCACTCATTTCAGGGATAGAGGGAGCTGGCTCCGCGTTTCGGGCCGTCTTCTAGGAAGGGTTCCAGGAGTGCCTGACACACGGGAATGATTCTCACTCCATGGTTGCTGATGTCTCTGCTTTCAAACATGAAAGAAGATGTTCCCTAAGGGTGCATGGAGGGGACCCAGTGCCCATCCCGGCCAGGATCCCCCACACTGGCCTTTCAGCCACACGTCCACTTGTGAAATTGTAAAATCCACAGATTTTTGTTTAAAAGCAACGCCATGTAGATATAAAAAACTACAATCTTACAGAAGGCCCGGCCATTATTACGTGAATAACGTTAGAGAGTTATACTACATTTCAAGCCAAAATCCGTGATGCAATAGAACTGCAGTCTGCTCCCGATTCGAGGTGGTTGAGGAACTGTATGGATGTGCCTCCTCTTCCTTCAAACCCCCAGTGAGTGACAGTAAAGGAGTTCAGAAAGAAAGAAATCCACAGAGATGGAAGGCGTGGGTGGAAGACCAGCAGGTTCTACCAATTCACTGGGAACTGGAGAGGAAGGGAGCAGAGGAGAAAGTAAAGTGGGGGGGAGCAGAGAAGGGGCCTGGCCCCCCAAGCCAGGATTGAGACACCCAGGCCTGGTCACTCCGGGCAGAGACGAAAGGGACACAAGCGACGTGCAGAGAGCGAATGGTTCAGAACGGCGCCCGGCACAGGCAAACACTCGATGCTAGCCAGGACCGACCATGTCAGCTGCCAGTCCTCATATGTCCCCCGATCAAAATGCCCATGAGCCTGGAAACTACCACCCACTCGCAAAATTGGAATATTCTTCCTCTCAAAAATTGATTTGAGACCTAAGATCTGGGAATTAGGGTCTCCCGCAGCATGGTGGCTCTCGGTGCAGGCACCCTGAGGAGAAGAGCAAACCCCAGCAACAGGAGAGCAAGTGGGAGGGGTGGGGGGACGCTGCCGAGCACCTGTGGAAGCAGCAGGTGCATGCGTGCAACTCCCAATCGGAGGCGCTCGCGAAGCCCTGCACTGAGGGACATGCCTGACACCCATGCACACCTTTGTGAGTTTCTAGAACACAAGGATAAAGAGAAGAAACTATGCCATGAGAGCAGGAGTCAGTTTCAGCAAAGGGACAAAAATCAGGCTTCCCAGCAACAACACTGAGTTAAAGCCGACAAACTCAGGAAAGGAAAATGCCCTCAAAATTCTTAGGCAAAATTATTTTGCTGTCAGAATTCTATACCCAACCAAACTTTCAAATATATGAGGGTAGAGTTTTGGACAGGCAAGATGAGAAACTTTAGGAAATTATTTGAAGACGGACATCAACAAAATGAAGGTGGAAATAAGGACAGAAAAACATGAGAAATTTCAGAAACAATCGGTCTAACCAGGAGAGAGATGAAAGGGTTAGAAAGGACAGGGCTGCATTCAGGCCTAAAGAGAAGTTGATTCTGAAGGTCACAGTGAAGACTTCAGGAAAGAAACCCCCGCAGATCAGGCAGCAAGGGAGGAGACAGGAGGCGTCACACTGAAAAGCCTGTGTCATCCCTTGGGCCTCTGGAATGCCTTTCAGAGGAATAAAGATGGAAATGCAAGAGAAGAAGAAGCCACAGAAATTCCAGGAAGGACAAGAAAGAAAACCGTCAGTGTGCAGCAGTCAGCTCTGCAGGGAAAATGTCAGCATAAGGTGGACACAGAGATGTATTTGCAATGTTCGGCTTATACAAAAAAGCACCAAAATTAACTCTGATTACTAAACAGACTCTCAATGGTCTCAACCCTGACAATTGCTGGGTGGTGGAAGCGAAATGAGAAGTAAGCGTGGAGCTGCTGGCATCTCTCCACGGCAAGCTGGGCTGTCAACTGACACTGCCTAGAGTTGACAGAGCAAGAAATTAAGGTGCAATTTATCGTTTAAAGTTAATGAGTTAGCAAAGGAAGAACTAAAAGCAACGTTTCAATTCTATCGAGAGAGGGGAAGAGGTAGTAAATACTTAATGTCTAGAGTAGATACATCAGGGGCGTGTAAGTCATCCCCACAGAGCTACACACAGGAACCAGTCGCAGGGAGTCACATGGGGAAACCGCCCTGGGGGACACCGGAGTGCTGGACTCAGACCTATGCACACCCGTCCCAGTCCCGGGAACGTGCAGCCCAGGGGGGAGCCCCACATCAACCGTGGACTCTGGAGTGCTGGACACACACCTGTGCACACCCGTCCCAACCCCAGGAATGTGCAGCCCAGGAGGGAGCCCCACGTCAACCGTGGACTCCGGAGTGCTGGTCACACACCTGTGCATACCCGTCCCAACCCCGGGAACGTGTCCCAACCCTGGAAACGTGCAGCCCAGGGGGAGCCACGTCAACCATGGACTCCACACGGCAATGACGCATCAGTGTGGGTCCATCCACTGTGGCAGACACACCACTCAGGCAGTATTGATAATGGGGAGGCTGTGGGGGGTATTGATAATGGGGAGGCTGTGGGGGGTATTGACAACAGGGAGGCTGTTGCGGGTATTGATAACAGGAAGGCTGTGGGGGGTATTGATAATGGGAAGGCTGTCGGGGGTATTGATAACGGGAAGGCTGTGGGGGGTATTGATAATGGGAAAGCTGTCAGGGGTATTGATAATGGGAAGGCTGTCGGGGGTATTGATAACAGGAAGGCTGTGGGGGGTATTGATAATGGGAAGGTTGTGGGGGGTATTGATAATGGGAAGGCTGTCAGGGGTATTGATAATGGGAAGGCTGTTGGGGGTATTGATAATGGGAAGGTTGTGGGGGTTATTGATAATGGGAAGGCTGTTGGGGAGGGTAGTGGTTAGATAGGAACTCTCTGTGCCTTCTGCTCAATTTTGCTGTGTATCTAAAACTCTTTGAAAAATAGTCTTGGCCGGGCATGGTGACTCACATCTGTAATCTCAGCACTTCGGGAGCTGAGGCGGGTAGATCACTTGAGCCCAGGAGTTCAGGACCAGCCTGGACAAAATGGCAAGACCACATTTCTACAAAAAATACAAAAATTAGCCAGGTGTGGTGGTGCACACCTGTAGTACCAGCTACTCAGGAGTCTGAGGTGGGAGAATCACCTGAGCCCAGGTGGTTGAAGCTGCAGTGAGTCATGACTGCACCACTGCACTCCAGCCTGGGCAACAGAATAAGACCCTGTCTCAAATAAAATTTCAGAAAAGGAAGTCTTTAACAGTGACTAACGGTGATTCTCCCGGGCACCTTGGGATGGGCAGAGGTGGAGCAAGACGCTCTTGCTTTTCAATTGTAGCTCCTACTGAACTATTTGATTTGTAAACTATACGCAAATGTTACTTTTATTTAAAATATCTATAAATATATAAATATTAAATCATTTTTAAGTTTTTAAATACAACCTGATAAGCAATAACAGGGAAACGAGGTAACCCTCTACCTACAGAAAGGCCTTCATGATTGTTTCAAGGTTTATTCAGAAAGTACAGATGTGGCACTACCGAGTTTTTGCCAGAAGAAAAAATATTTTTGGAAACAAAAATAAGAAATATTGCTCACAATACAGGGGCCCCTCCATCAGTCCTGGCTTCACTGTCCACCTGGCCATGAGGGAACCTCGGGATGGCCACTCCTGCTTTTTAGGCTTCAGTGAGCTCATTTTCATTCTGATCTTTCCAACAGCCACATATGGTAAGTGGTGAAATTACCATCATCTCCATTTCACAGATAAAATAACAGGGCAGGGACAGTAAAGGGCACAGCCATGTCCTCACTGCTCAAAGGCAGCAAGCAGCACCAGGACTCAACCCCACACACTTGCCCCACGCCGCCCAGCAGTCACTAATGAGCGCAGAGGTGGGAAACGAGGAGACAAGACGCATTTGGGAATGCCTGCTACACGTGCCCCGATTCCTGTTTAAAATACACGAGAGGAGACTCAGTCTTTGATTACACAGTGACTTTCATGCAGAGCACCAGGGAATTGGATACAGCTTCAGAACAACTTCAACACCCTCTAGATTCTGCTAAAAACATGAACCTAAAATAGGAAAATCAAAGACACACAATCTTTAATTCAAAGACATCTGATCTCAGATATGGTCCCGTACGATCCCAACCCTCAGCCCGCCTGTGGACCACACAGCCTGTGACCCAGCACCATCCGTCAACTGCTGTGAGCAGCACGTGACACAGGGGAGGGTATGGCCGGGTCCAAATGGAAAACCCAAATGAAGCAAAGGCTCATGCTTAGGAACCCACCAGAACATCCCATCAGCCCAGTGCCTACGGGTGTCATTCAACTTTCAGAGCAACAGTCCTCAAAACACGGTGCTAAATGAATCGAGTCTCATGCAACTGCACCATGGCCGACACATGAAGGAAACCATGTTTTCAATAAATCTCATGGGGGCCTTCTTAGCATTTTTCACAGATGGGCTTCATCACTGGATGAGGGCAGGTTGGCTGGATTGCGGTATTTTACATATTCTATAAATGTAAAGTGGATAACTCACTGCTAAAAGGGACCCAAAAGTGAGGAAATGGTCCGAGTTCAGGGGAGGGAAGAATTTTTTGGAGCAAGTTTAAAGCAGAAAGGGAGTTAGATGGCAAAGGGAAGGGGACAGAGAGCAATGAGGAAAAACAGCACGAGGTGGGGGTTGATGACGAGTATTCCAGGTGGGGGTGCAGCATGTGCAAAGGCCCCATGGCGGGAAACAGGGAGCCACGAACAGGGAACTGCACGGAAACAGCTTCTTGAGGCAAACATTCCGGAAGACCCATTGCGGGCACCCCAGGAAAGAGGACATTTTGCAGAAAACTCGAGAGCCAGAAAGGGGAAATCTGGGTCTGCCAAAACGCAACAGAAAACACCGCATGCAGAGAAGTGACATGATAAAAATGGCTCCAGAAAGATTATCCCGGCAGCTGTGTGTAGGATGGTTTCAAGCCGAGAGAGACCGGAGGCGGGAGATCTGCTAAAAGAACGTTCTCCTGACTCAAGCTCAGGGTGAGGAGGGTGTGGCTGGGCAGAGCCTGCGTGGGGAGACAGCGCTCAGGGGAAGGGGGATTCCAGGTTCAGCCTCAGTTTCCGCATCTATGAAAGCTGAGGCCTGACCAGACGATCTTTCAGCTTGCATAGGTCTTGACTCAACAGAGTTCTGTCCTGAGATCCCAGTATGATCTCAGGGTAGGCTGCATATGAATATGAAATCAGGGAGATGAAAAAAAAGTAAATCCCAACTTTCACACCTAAAGAACAAGGCCTGGATGGAAAACCAAAGTTCATGCATTTTTTATTGTGTCTTAAAATCTTCTCTAATATATAAGATTGCATCTGTGCTAATTAAAAACAGATCAGAGAACATTCTCAATGTCAGCTCCATGGTTTCTAACCCAACCTGGCCCTCAAAGGCGGTCCCACAACGACATCGTCTTTGCCGTCAGCCCCAACCTGCCCACACCTGCTCCCTATCCGGCCATGACCATGCCTGGCCCACTTGCTAAACAGCATGAGCCCATCACCTTCTCCCGTCTCCTATGCCACCAGCAGTATCCCCCCCAGACGCCAGCTCCTCCCAGACACTCGTGGCCCCAACCCGCTCATCCTCACACAGCCCCCAGCAAGGTATTCCAGCCACAAACTCAGCGTGTTCTTATGACTATTAGCACAAAAAAAGCCGCTAACATGACCTAAAAGGCCCTCACAGCCTGGCCCCTAACTGCCTTGTCAGCCAAATACCGGTTATAACCTAAAACAGGACCCTAGCGGCTCAGGGCACCAAGCCTCAGGTAAGCACTAGGATGACCCTGGATCCCCCGACCACCTGTGGGCACACCCCAGCATTATCCCACACTCTCCACCCGCCTCCTTCCCTGCCATGGTTTCTGGTGTGTGGGTGGCACAGCCCTGACAGTCAATTGACAAATTCAGAATCCTGGCTTCCCAGCCAACACCCAGCACTTTGCTCTTTCAAAAGCACACCTGGGGGCATCACCCAGAGGACGGCACCCCAGCTGGGGATCTGACACACATGGGGCCCCTCTCCAGGCCCCCTAGCCATGCCAGCCGCTAGTCAACCCACAGTCCTCAGATTCACAAAGAGCTCCACCCCTCCCTCTCTCCCTGGGCCTGGAATACATTCACCCCCACCTGCCCCTCGTTCCTACTCACGCACCAGACCTCACACCTCAAATGCCGCTTCTCCGCTGGGCTTCCAGCTGCTCCCACAGTCAGAGCTCAGTTATAATTAAGATTATTAAAAACATGTTTAGCAATTCACTTGCTTGGCAATTAATTTTTTTTCTTTTTGAGACAGGGTCTTGCTCTGTCGCCCAGGCTGGAGTGCAGTGGCAATCACAGCTCACTGCAACCTCTGCCTCCTGTGTTCAAGTGTTCCTCCCATCTCCCGAGTAGCTGAGACCTCAGGCAAGAGCCCCCACGCCTAGGTATTAATAATTTGAGTATTTTTTGTAGATACAAGGTTTTGCCACGTTGCCCAAGCTTGTCTCAAACTCCTGAGCTCAAGCAATTCACCCACCTTGGCCTCCCAAAGTGCTAGGATTACAGGATACTTAATATTTATCTCCCTCCACAGACTCTAAATCCAGAAAACACTGTCCTCTGTATTTACAAAAGCACACTCAAGGCCAAACCCAGTGAGGGACACACTGGGGGTTATTGGTAAATACATCAAATGAATGAATGACTCATCAGTAATAAACCCTCGTGTCCTCTTTTGTATCCACCAGACATGCCAAAAGCCTCTTCTAGAAGACCATATTGTGAGCAAGCTTCCAGAAACTCAGCCAAAGTCATCCAGATTATCACAAATTGCTAGGATGATTTACCAGATGGACTAAAAATATGTATCTTGGTTACAACAGCACACTGCTTGCTTCCTTACTTGCTTTTTTTCTTTCTTTTTTAGAGACAGGGTCTCACTCTGTCACCAAGCTGGAGTGCAGTGGCGTGTGTGGCTCATGGCAGCCTCAGACTCCTGGACTCAAGCGATCCTCCCACCTCAGCCTCCTGAGTGACCGGATTACTGGTGCACACCACCATGCCTGGCTAATTATTTTTTAGAGGTGGGGTCTCACTATGTTGCCCAGGCTGGTCTCAAACTCCTGACCTCAATCTTCCCTCCTTGGCCTCGCAGAGCACTGGGATTGCAGGTGTAAGCCCCGCACCTGGGCAGGCACACTGCTTTTCAATCCCTATTCTGTGGCCTTGGACGTCTAAGTAATATTATTCCTAGCTTCAGGAACGTAAGATAATGACACTGCAACCATTGTTTCTAAGCAAAGCTCACTGAACCTTTCAGGAAAGGCATGGGCACAGAGGAAGGCAGGTAAAACATGCAAAACCCAGGCCGAAAGTGTCTTGGCTTCTGTCAGTCCTGGATTTTTTAGGAAGAGAGTTGTCCCATTGTTTAAGGTTCAGTGAAATCTGTCCATGTCAGTGTGGAACAGAACCGTGTGTCAGTGAGATCGGGAAGTACTCGGCAGAGTTGGCGACGGGATACGGCAGTGACAGTGGACGAAATCCGTCAGGGTCTCGCAAAGTGAGCCCCAGGAAAGGTTGTCAGGTGTGGCTGGGACGCCTGCTGCAGAGGCTGCCGTGAGGACTCGGAAAGGCACCTGATCTGAGGCCTCCCACGCTGTACCACTCACTCCCCACGTGGAGCGGTGCGGTTCCATCCTCACTCAGATCTGCCAGGCAACCGAAGCTTCCCACCCTCAGAAAGAGGGCTCCAGGCAAGGTAGACAAGAAGGCAGGGCTGTTGAATGGGGAATTAAAGTGCACCTGACACCGCGCCCAGGGTCGGCCCGTGGTGGGGCCGCGAAGGCCCTTCCTGCGGCAATCACACGCCGCACCGCGCCGCCCGGACAGGAAACGGCCGACCCCACGGCGGCCCACTCAACATACCCAGCTTTCTCTGTGCAGGATTTTTTAAGACCTCAAGGAAAATAACAAGTATTTATCTATTTCATTATCTTGGATCATCTTAGAGGACACGCAAGTGTGTCTGTGGAGTGGATAAGGCTCCATCTGGTGAGCCGGCACGTTTTTATACCCACAGCATTCGAATGATGAATAAAGAACTCGAAGCTCCTAGGGCTGCTGGCTGCTCCACCAACTACTTCCTCCCTCTCCATCCACCGTCTGTGGCTCCTTTTCATTCCCCCAGGCATCTGTGCCTCCCTCTCAGCGCCTCGCGGAGAACTTCTCATTCCTGCAGGTCTGTCCACAATCTCAAAAGACCTTCAGCGGCACCTCCCATCTCACAGGCATCCCTGCAATTCTTCTTTCCTGGAAGTAAATGTTCGCTGGCGTAGTTATGATTTCAAGGCCCTTATTCTTCCTAGTGACTGAATGTCCCATTTCCCTAGAGGGGGCTTCAAAACAAACCCACCAGGGCCCTGTGAGCTGGAAACCCAAGAAAGAGCAGGGGACGGCCTGACCTCCCGGCACTGGTGAGCCTCCAAAGACGCGTTTGTAAAGTTTGTGTTCCGTGATACAGAGCAGCAATTCCTCATAAATACCGGGCCCCTCCTCTGCGTAAGTGACGGGGTCCGCAGCAACACCCATCCGGCCCTAAGCGGTCAGGTCTGCGTCCCACCAGTAAACCCTCCTGGCTTCTCAGAACCCTCCTGGCTTCTCAACACCTCTGGTTGCAGGTTTGCAAGACACATGGTAACACTTGCCCCAAATACACCAAGTTAAAAGACAGAGCTGTAATCTGTTCCCTTAAGGAAGAGGTGTAGGAAAGTGGTAACCACACAATGACTGCAGTTTCTGCCGTTTTTCACATGATAATAATTGGGAACCGAGTGAGGGTGATCCACTTAAACAGCTGAGAGTCGCCTACAGAAGGCTGCTCTGAGGACCCCAGAGGTCGCCTTCTTGGAGGGGCAGGAGTGGGAGGCTCTGAGCCCGACGTGCAGTGCCCTGGGCCCAGCCGACAGTATCATGAAGGTCTCCCCTACCCACCTTGAAGGCACAGCATCCCGTCACAAGCATCCCTCAAGGGCACAGCCTGCACCTCCAGGCTGCCTCTCTCCAGTGCCTCCTGGCCGCCATGGCATCTCCCCGTTTATAAATTTCAGGAGGGAATTTAAGCCTTCATCTTCTGGGCAGCCCCCACTGTGCTCAGCAAGGACAGAGCTGTCTGGAGAACCTCCTGCCCCATCCCCTCCTTCTGACTCCACACCAAGCATAGGCGGCTGGTGCTGACCCCACACCGAGCCCAGGCGGCTGGTGCTGACCGGGCCCTGCCATCAGGCCTCTGCCTGGCGGCACGACCGAGATTGGCACATCTGTGCTTCTTGCCTGACTGTGGCTCTCCGGCGGGCAAGACCAGGCCTCATCTGCCCTTTAATCCATGGGTGTGAGACCGGCCCGGGCACACTAGGCTGGAGGAAGGCGAGGCATGAGCATTGAGCAACGTGCACCTTGCCTTCTGCGCCCACTGGTGGTAGCCGGCAGCCTGGGGATTATCTGAGTCTCTCCTCTCCCTCTCTGCTTCATGGCAGGACAACTGGACAGAATGATTCAGCCCACACTGACCTCACAGTGAGGAAAAAGTGGGAGACCAATGATTTCAGCACAGGGAAGGGAGAAGGGGGTGCAGGCAACCCAGCACCCTCACCTCGAAGCGGCAAGTGAGATGAAAACTGGGTGAGTGAACACCAGGGAAGAACCTGGGCCACACCAGAGCCCTGGAGGGAGACCCTCTTCTAAGCCAGAAGCAAATGACCACTTCTTTAAGGAGAAAAAAAATGGGCCTGAAAAAAGTGTCAGATGAACTTCCTATAAGGACTTACTATAAAGTGTCAGATGAACTTCCTATAAGGACTTACTATGAAGTGTCAGATGAACTTCCTATAAGGACTTACTATGAAGTGTCAGATGAACTTCCTATAAGGACTTACTATGAAGTGTCAGATGAACTTCCTATAAGGACTTACTATAAAATGTCAGATGAACTTACTATAAGGACTTACTATAAAGTGTCAGATGAACTTCCTATAAGGACTTACTATGAAGTGTCAGATGAACTTACTATAAGGACTTACTATGAAGTGTCAGATGAACTTACTATAAGGACTTACTATAAAGTGTCAGATGAACTTCCTATAAGGACTTACTATAAAGTGTCAGATGAACTTATTATAAGGACTTACTATAAAGTGTCAGATGAACTTACTATAAGGACCAGAAAGAGACAAGAAACTCAGAGACAAGTTTTTCTAACCTCACGATCCAACTTCCGTAATGTCCCCGGGGAAAAAAATATGAGGCCTGGTCACAGAGTCACGAGACGGCCGAGTGAGGACAGATGGCGCGACACCTCCTGAGCGACTGTCAGAAACTTGCAGCAGCCAAACACCAGGAAAACGCTCCTTTCCACGAGAGGATGGCCGGAGATCCAGGAAAATGCTCCTTTCCGTGAGAGGGTGGCCGGAGATCCAGGAAAATGCTCCTTCCCGTGAGAGGGTGGCCGGAGATCCAGGAAAATGCTCCTTCCCGTGAGAGGGTGGCCGGAGATCCAGGAAAATGCTCCTTCCCGTGAGAGGGTGGCCGGAGATCCAGGAAAATGCTCCTTCCCGTGAGAGGGTGGCCGGAGATCCAGGAAAATGCTCCTTCCCGTGAGAGGGTGGCCGGAGATCCAGGAAAATGCTCCTTCCCGTGAGAGGGTGGCCGGAGATCCAGGAAAATGCTCCTTTCCGTGAGAGGGTGGCCGGAGATCAGCGTGCCTACCGACACCTGTTTGCTGATGGAAAAAGAAGCTTCCAACCGTCCACAACTCAGCCAACTCACCTTCTCAGACAAAACGAGCCGGGGCCCAGTGACAAATATTTCGGAACAGGTCTATTTTTGGACTGGACATTTTTCAGAAACTAAATTTAGCCAATTTGAATTCTTTTTAAAAAATGCTATCCCATTAGGCCTTTTGAAATAGGGAATCTACATCTCATTATAAAGACAGGAAACACTGTTCTCCCATCAGCCTGAAACACTGCAGACGGCGAGCCGTGGGGGCTGCATGGTAGATGGACCTGTGCAGGGGAGGGCGGAGGCAGACCGGGATGTGGGCCAGGTGCCGTGGAAGTCAGACATCAAAATGTACGGCCGTTAATTATCTGTAAAATAATAGCTCACTTGTAGTTTTTAAAAGTCATGTTTTCTGTTACCATTCATTGGCAATTTTGACCATTTTCAAATGCTTATTAACTGAAATATTGGCTTCTTTAATTTTCTGTTTATATTCTTTGTCAATTTTTATGCACTCAGGAAAACCCTTATATTTGGAGTATTAACCGGTTTCTAAATACACTTGATTTTATTCCTGTAGACATAGAAAAGATTCGAAATGTTTTCATTAGATCAATCGATCCATTTCTGTTCCTTTTTATTTTGGTTTCTTTTGTTACTTTTCCTGTGACGTCCTCCCTGAGCCCACTCTGCACAATCGCCTTGACCTCCCCTCGTGTGGCAAGGATGCGGCACGGCCAGTGCCCACGGGTGGTGCCAGGGTGGATGCGCGTGTCTAGAGAGAGCTCTGGCAACGGCCTCCAGACTCAGGAACGTTCGCCCATGCAGCCGGCCTAACCGGCCCTAGGGAGACCCAGGAAAAGCCCTTCCACCCAGGAATGTGAGCGTGCTTGGAAGACAGGCTTTGCAGAGGTGATGAACTAAGGCTCTTTGATGAGGGGATAACCCGGGGCTTTCTGAGTGGGCCCTGACCGCACTCACATGTGTCCTGCTTGAGAGATCTGAGATGGATGGAAGGGGAGACCCCAGGAGAAGAGGAGGAGGCCACGTGGAGACAGAGAAGCAGGCTGGAGTGATGAGGCCACAAGCCAGGATGCCTGGAGCCATCAGAAGCCAGGAGAGGAGGGGACCCTCCCCACACCTCTGGAGGGAGCAGGCCCCAGGATACCTTGGCTCCAGGCTTCCAGCCTCCAGCACCAAGAGCGCGCTCTGCCGTTTCGGGCACCCGATCTGTGGTAACTTGTTATAGCAGCCCCTAGGAAACTAAACACACCCATTAATCAATAATTCTGTTCCTAGGAATTGACTGGAGAAAAAAAAGATCTACATTTTCAGAAAATATTCAAAAAAATACATTAACCCCAGAACAATGGCCAAACATTTTTGTAAGTAACTGAAATGTCAAACAATAGGGGAAAGTTTTAATCACACTCCATACGGGAACATTACACATCGATGAAAATTAACTTATAAAAGGATGTTTTGAATATACAGGCAAATTCTTAGAAAAGAATATAAAGTGAAAAAAAAACAAGGTAATTTCCAATTCTGATTTTTAAAATAATTAGGAGAAGTCTGGAAAGAAACACACCAATAAACTATAATAATTTCTAGGTCACGGAATTATTGCTGACTTGTAATATATTAATTAGCTTCTAAATACTTAGCAGATAAAAAGACCAGAAATAAAAGAAAAGAAGGCCAGGTGCAATGGCTGATGCCTGTAATCACAGCACTTTGGGAGGCCGAGGCAGGGGGACTGCTTGAACCCAAGAGTTTGAGACCAGACTGGGCAATATAGCCAAACCCCAGCTTTACTGAAAATATTAAAAGTGTGGTGGTGTGCACCTGTAGTCCCAGCTACTCAAGGGCTGAGGCAGGAATATCACCTGAGCCCAGAAAGTCAAGGCTGCACTGAGCTATGATGATGCCCCTGCATTCCAGCCTGGGTAACAAGCAAGGCCCCCTCTCACATACAGAAAAAAGAAAAGAAAATGTACAAAAGTAGCCTGCTCACCTCCCGTTATACCACCAGATACAGAGAGAGCAAAATAGATTGTAGGTGAGAAGAATCTCAAGAGATGTAACAAATATAATAAAAGTTGTCAGAAAGCAAAGATCTGGCAGCCAACGAAAGGTCTCCGCGCCGCACAACAAAGCAGTAACCCCGGGGTTTCACCCATCCTTGTCCACTGGGAAGCCACTGGCTGCTTTCCGAGAGCATCCCAGTCCACTGCAGAGGAGGGCTCTAAGGAGCGGGCAGGTGCTGATGGGCAGTGCAGAACACCTGTGTGCCACCACGAGCTCCTCAGTGAGGCCATTTGCAAATTCACAGCACCGCAGGGCTGGATGTCACCCAATATATGTAAGCACTTTTTAAAAAGCTAAAGTGCGTGGTAAATGATACGAGATATTCTATCTCTCGGCTCCTCTATGCTTTGGACTCTGCTGCTTTTCTGGGAGAAAACAAATGCCAGGTAAGGGCTTCCTCCTCGGGTCACAGTGTGGGATATGCTGACCCACCAACGCCCACATGGCCCACTCTGTTCCCACCCAGGGGCCCTGCACCCCTGTGGCTACGTGGAGCATGCGGCTGAGCTGAGCTGGCTCTGTGGACCTCAGTCTTGGAGGAGCGAGACAGAGACAGAAAGCACCAGAGCCTGCCCATCCCACCACGGAGTCCCCCACGGAGCCACCACCAGAGTCCACCCATCCCACCACAGAGGCCGGCCCCATCCCACCGCAGACCCGCCCATCCCACCGCAGACCCGCTCATCCCACCGCAGAGCCCCCCATCCCACCGCAGACCCGCCCATCCCACCGCAGACCCGCCCATCCCACCGCAGACCCGCCCATCCCACCGCAGAGCTCCCCATCCCACCGCAGACCCGCCCATCCCACCGCAGAGCCCCCCATCCCACCGCAGACCCGCCCATCCCACCGCAGACCCGCCCATCCCACCGCAGACCCGCCCATCCCACCGCAGAGCCCCCCATCCCACCGCAGGCCCGCCCATCCCACCACAGAGCCCCCCATCCCACCGCAGGCCCGCCCATCCCACCGCAGAGCCCCCCATCCCACCGCAGACCCGCCCATCCCACCGCAGACCCGCCCATCCCACCGCAGACCCGCCCATCCCACCACAGAGCCCCCCATCCCACCGCAGGCCCGCCCATCCCACCACAGAGCCCCCCATCCCACCGCAGAGCCCCCCATCCCACCGCAGAGACCCCCATCCCACCGCAGAGCCCCCCCATCCCACCGCAGACACGTTCATTCCACCACAGACCCGCCCATCCCACCATGGAGCACACTCATCCCACCACAAAGGCCCCCACCCTGCCCCATCCTGGAGCCCCCGCACCCAATCCTGCCACACAGCCTGCCCGTCCCGTCATGGAGCCCCTCATACTGCTGCAGAGCCCCCCACCCCCGCCCTGCGCCCCGTCCTACTTCAAAGGTCACCCTCCAGCCGCCTGTGTCCTCCGCGTTCCCCTCGGCTGGAACGTGGCCTGTCCCAGCCTCTCCGCCTTGCTTTTCATCAGCCAGAGCTTGTTTCTGGAACTTGGGACCAAAGATGCCTAAGCGAGGCCCGGCGGAGAAGCCCATCGCGTGACTGGCGCGGAGCATGGTAAATGGTGCATTTGTCACTACGGCTCGATGGTTTTCAGAGGAGGTTTCTCCTTCCCTGTCTGCTTTATGATATCTTGCAGTCTTTTTACTGAATGAAAACGTAAAGAAGTCCCGTAAGACTCAGAAGTATGACGCGTTGTGGGTAGTACACAAACTCAGAAGAGCAGTCAGAGGCGGGGCAGTGCCCGGCAGCCCCTCACACTCTAGAGCCTCCTGGTCTCTAGGACAGGCCGGCTTTCCAGTGTCGCTCTCCCCAGCCCCCCGAGAACCAGGACAGCTCAGGCCAGGAGGGCGAGTAAAACCACCCCAGGCCCAGGGCAAGGGGCCCATTTCCCTTCCTAGCCACTGGCTCGGACATGGTGAGATGTGAGGGGAGGTCTTCCCGAGAACTCACAGTAAGGTTTCCTTACTGCAAAGGTGTCCCCATCACGCCTGCAGGGCCGACATCACCCTAACAGGGGCACCGTCCTCGCATCATGCCTTCAGGACCAGCGTCCGCAGCCAGCAGGGGCTACACCGGGATGGTGAAGGCCACAGAGCAGACAGAGGGAACCTGGTTGCTGAGGATGCCCGGCTGTGGTGCTTTGTGGTAAGAACGCACAAATCCTCAGTTTCTGTTTTGTGTGGGACTTTCTATTATATGCAGCCAAAAGTATGCTGATACAGCAAAAAAACAAAAACAGAAAATCAAAACCACTGTCCACCTCAGCACCTGCCAGTGTGCAGCTGGCATTCTGATCCACATTCATTCAGCAGATGAGGGGCTCATGCCCAGCAAGGTGTCAGGTGCAGGGACACTGCCATGACCACAGTGGACGGCCCTCTATCCCACAGATCTTCTCTCCCAGCCCGTGGCACTGGATGGTGGAGGCTGCGCCCCCAGCTCTGGAGCCCCCCTGCCGACGTGGCCTGTGGCTCTGTGTGACCCCACACGGGATCCAATGCGCCATCTGACCCCTCTTCCCCAGTTTCCTCATCCGCAGCCTGCAGACAATGCCAGCACTGACCTCACAGGGCTGGCATGAGAATTCTATGAGTTAATATGAGTAACTCGCCCAGCAGTGCCCAGCACATAGGAAACGTTCAACAGATGCCAGATATGATCAGAAAACATCGAAAATAAATAAGTCGCATGGGGTGTGAGAAGGCAAGGGAGCTGGGAGCACTGGAGGGATGGCACCCACTTTGGCCTGGTCTCTCTGAGAAGCTCCACATGTGGGAAGGCTTGGAGGAAAGCAGCGACGCACCCCCGGCCTTCCTGCAGGGCACACGGGCCCCGACCAGGACCATCACTGAAGTTCAGGCACCAGTAAGGAGGCCTGGGTGACGGGGGCAGAGTGTTGAGGGGATGACCTTGGCTGGCCTGAGCAGGCCGTGAGGGGTGGTGCGGACCCCCATAGGCAGGTGGCCTGGCGCTGAGTGAGATGGAGATGTGATCAGGCTTCTAGGGTTCCTCTTTCTGGAGTCGGTATCCTTCCAGTCTGGTCTTTATGCTCCAAACTCAGTAGCTTTAGGGAAATGGGATGAAAGTATTCATACTGTCTTATAGTCCGTTCTCTTTACTTAATATGGTATGAACACCTTCTTATAGAATTAGGTACTTAACTTTCATGTTTTTGTGGATGTGTATTTTTTATAACATTGCTGTACCACCATGAATTTACCCAATCCTGTTACTGCTGTTTTCCAATATTATACTATGAAACAAAACTGGAGGGAACATCCACTTAGCTAACTTATTGTAAATTCATGATTATTTCCTTAGGAAAAGTTTCCAGAAGTGAAATTGCTGGGATAGTTACATGTAAAGAAGAGTTTTTTTAAAATTGAGTGCTGCGACTCTTGAGAAAATATCATTAGAGAAGCAAGTAGCTGGATAAATTGAAGACTGAGAAATACTGTTTGGTTGCTTTAAAGAACTACGGAACTCAAGTTTCACCAACAAAAATAAAACTTTGAATCTAATTATAGTGACAACCTAGAACATTTTGTTTCAGACCCAGTAGTGCTTCATTCTGAAATGGCCACAACAAAAGGTTGAAACTACAATTCTCAATTGTTTATGCAAATTTCTAAATTATATATAGTATAGCCAGAAAACAGATGTTCGGAAATTTGCTCAGAATGTCAAAATATTACAAAGAATGTTACAAAATGGAAATTATTTTTAAAGAGCTAAAGGTTTCATATTAAAGACCAAGAAAAAAGGTAAAGAACCTGCCGCTGTGCTTGTCTCCAGCACCCACAACTCGGAAGCAGCGGGAGAAGGGACGGTGGCGTAACGAGGCATTCACGGTGTGTATTTACGAGTTCATGCAACTGTTTATCCAGTGACATGGCCTAAAACCCTGCGGCAGGTGTGGGGATGGCCTGGGCTACCCCTTCCCGCCATCTCTGCTGCACTGAGGACAGCATGCGGACAGACTGGGGGATGGGGAAGCCGGGACCCAGTCCAAGCGAGGAATTCGGAGGCTGGGAGCATGACCTCACTCAGGCATCGGGGCCGGGGAAGCAGCATTCCAACTAGGTTTGAGAGAACAGACATGAGGAAAGGACGGAATGAAAAGCACCGTCCAGTGTGGGTGAAGCCAGAGTGTTGCTGGGGCACAGCCCAGGCAGGGAACAGGGAGTGACCGTGGGAAGCAGACAGCCAGCACCCCGGGAGGGCGACGTGGCCGGAGAAGAGGCAGGGAGTGACCGTGGGGAGCAGACAGCCAGCACCCCGGGAGGGCGACGTGGCCGGAGAAGAGGCAGGGAGTGACCGTGGGGAGCAGACGGCCAGCACCCCGGGAGGGCGACGTGGCCGGAGAAGAGGCAGGGAGTGACCGTGGGGAGCAGACGGCCAGCACCCCGGGAGGGCGACGTGGCCGGAGAAGAGGGAGGGACGCAGGTTGGGCTGGGGAATCTGTACCTCGAGGAGGCGTCAGCCCCTCTTCTGCACCTTCACCCATTCAGATCATTAGATGCGACCCA
Source organism: Homo sapiens (assembly GCF_000001405.40). NCBI lineage: Eukaryota > Metazoa > Chordata > Mammalia > Primates > Hominidae > Homo > Homo sapiens. The sequence continues at coordinate 25,974 of NT_187572.1, read as the reverse complement.
GGGCCAGGGTTCAAGGGTGATCAAGACCCTTCCTCACAGAGTGGCTATTCCAATACATCAAAGACAAGGAAAGTGGGAATTACAAGGTGGTGAGAGGTGTCACCCTAACAGTCAGAGCACAGAGAAACCTTCCCAACCCAATCTCGTGGGTCGGGGGTATATGTGGAGAGGAGACGCTGCCTCTAAGCTTGCTGAGCGAACGAGCACTTCTTCCCAACGCACAAGATGAGAGACAGAAGAGGGAAGCGGCGCTGGGTCTGAGAGAACCACGATGATGGCTCCATCCATAGACTGCCACGGCCACCAGAACAAGTCACTTCCTTCAGCTAAAACAGGTGTCTGGGCATTTAGATGCAAAGACTCAGAGGAAACGTGAAGGCACGTGAAACTTGAGAAACTGCTGTTGTCTGCAGGACACACGACGTGAATCCACGTCTTCAGCCCTAAACCACAGTAGCTTAGTGAGTGATCCAGACATGAAGACCCGGCCACGGAAATCACATGCAAATACCAGCAAAAGGCATCGCGCAGTGGCCCATGCCCACAATCGCAACATTTTGGGAGGCTGGGGTAGGCTGATGGCTAGAGCCCAGGAGTCAGAGTCTAGTCTGGACAACATGGTGAAACCCCATCTCTACTAAAAATACAAAAAATTAGCTGGGTGTGGTGGTGCACGCCTGTAGTCCCAGCTACTCGGGAGGCTGAGGTGGGAAGATCGCTTGAGCCCAGGAGGTCAAGGCTGCAGTGAGCTGAGATTATGCCACTCACTCCAACCTGAAACACAGGAGTGAGACCGTCTCTAAATAAGTAAGTAAATAAATACCAAGAAGAGGTCATCAGTGCTGAGGGTAGGCTGTGCATGTGAGTTTTGCTTTTGGTTTATTTCAAAGAAACCAAATCAAGACAAAATCATTAAAAAATACTTCTGTATTTTTAACTGTTATATATTACACAACCCCAGCCCCTGAATATAAGATCTACCCTCAGAACATCTCTTACAAGTTAGTGCCAGAGAAAATTTATCTTCACCAAAAAATGAGTATGCAACGTCTACCCTGAAAGCATGATCCTCAGGTTGAACATGGCTTTGTAGTTTTGGGTTTTGTTGACTTGACTCCCTGGAAGCTCAGTGTCAAACGTGATGCCCAGAGAATTACATCCATCCTCATGGTTATCACATGTGTTTCTTCCGATTTTCTATTTCTATTTTCTAATTAGCATTTTTTCCCTTGTCCTTCTGTGGTTAAGTTGGGTCCAAAACTTTTTGGAAAGTGGCAAGAGATATACAAAAAAGTAAAACAAGACCAGAAATAATAAATAAAACAGTTTTGAGAGAAATCAAAGAGTTGCTTGATAACTTCCATTGTGGACTGACTCAAAGTAGGCCTCAATTGTATTTTTTCATGATAAAAATAGTCAAGACTAATCCAGCATTTCCTACGTGCACCATTCTTATCACTTTACAGTCATGAATTCATTTAATCCTCCTTAACCCTATCAAGTTAATATTGCATTGGCCCCACTCTTAGTGATGAGAAAACTGAAATACGGTGAGGTCAAATAAAGAGCCAAATGCAGCTGGGAAAAGTGACTCACTCCTGTAATCCCAGCACTTGAGGAGGCCAGGGCAGGAGGATTCCTTAAGGACAGGAATCTAAGGCCAGCCTGGGCAACACTGCAAGACCTCCGTCTCTACCAAAAAAAAAAAAAGTAAAAATTAGTTGGGTGCGGTGACATACACCAACTACTAGACAGGCTGAGGTGGGAGGATCACTCGTGCCCAGGAGGTCAAGACTGCAGTTAGCTATGATCATGCCAGTGCACTCCCGCCTGGGTGACAGAGGGAGACCCTGTCTCTAAAAAGCCACTTGCAATGCTGTGCAAAAGTCACAGGACAAACATTCGTTACACACAAAAGGATGTTTTTCAATACCGCCTAACTTAAAATACATACTCTATGGACCCTTGAGATCATTCCCATTTTTCTTCTTTTGTACAGAGTATGAAACATTTTAAAGACAACGATCAGTCAGATTCACAGGTTACTTTAAAAATTTTTAACACAAGTTTACAGATGGGCTATTTCCAAATGTTTATTCATTGTTTAAAATGGTTGATTTAAATTTTTCTCTTTTTTTCCTGCCGATACACACGATGTACCATATAAGAAACAGTACCCGAAGATGAATAAGCCTTTCCCTGCAACAAGAGGTTTAATGTGGAAATGTCTGAAGAAACTAAAAGCCCATACATCCCATTTGCTTGTCAGGGACAGAAAACTCAGTTCAAAGAAACAATCTCCTGGTTTATGTAACTGAAAGTCACGGGGTAATGATGGTTCAGGCATAACTTAGTTCAGAGCTTCCAACAGCATCCTCAGGACCAAGCTCTCTGCATAACAGCCGCCCTTCTCCTCCACAGACAGATGAGGAAGGTGTCATTTCCAGACAGGCCATCCCTGCAAGGCTGTGCACTGATGCCACAACTGCAGGCCTTACACCTTTCCCGCTGTTTTTCCTAAAGCTTTCCTCTCCTTGAAAGTTCCCGCTCTTCACTCATCCAATTGCTCTTGAGAGGGAGTTAGGGCTCCGGCCAGTCAGGAGCCACCTCTGACGGGAAGTAGGGTCCGCCAAGCCAACCCCATGAGGTGGCAGGTGTTCCCTAAGGGGAGCTGGCTGCTGCCTGGAAAGGGAAGCGTACACTGAACTGCAAATACACTGGAGTCTGCAGTAACGGGTCTAGAAAGCTCAACTCCTGAAGGCCCGCCAATAAATACAGACAGGACACTTCCAGAACTAAGGCAACTGACATCCCACATGAAGACACTGCCATCAAGTCAGGAGAGGTGCACCTGCAGCGGACACCCATCACCGGGATGTCAGAACACCCAGGCCCCTCTCCTGGAGCTAAAGTTAAGGGACTGCATGTCAAGGCCCATGACCTGAGGACTGGGAGAAGATTTTCATAGGCAGATGAAGTCAGTGCACAGAAGAATGACATGAAAAAAGAAAAACAGAGCTTTACAAATGAGCTCCTACTGCCTTTGCTGAGGAGATTAATTTGTTACTGCTGTTAAGCCTTGGAAGGGAAAGGTGGCTACCAGTAGATGCAAGATTTAAACTAGAGTTTGCACACCCTACGACCCCATGCCTGGTCAATGCCAAAGCCCATCTGCTTAACTTCCCTAGAAATTAAAGTCTTTTGTCATGAGCACACGTGAAATCACTATGCTCAGTTTTTGTACGCACAAGTACCCAGGAAACAACAAAACATATTGAAGAAGTTAGTGGCACTAGAAAGCCTCGTATGATGAAAACTAGTTGGTAAAACTACGGTTGATTAAGAATAATTTTTAACTGCATAGAAAGTGTGCCTACTAACTTCCTGTATGGCAGCCTGTAATTCTTTTATAACCAACATGATGGCAATGCTCTAAATATGACTCCCATCTGGCCAAAATGATGAATCATAGTTATTTTTATTGTATCCAATGAATGACCATGGAGCATCCATCCTGAGGGTCAATAAATAGAATATTTAATCAACTTCATTTTAAAATCTATAATCAAAGTATACATCATTCAACTCCTTGGATAACTGAGGAGTCATGAAGCTTTTCCTCAAATACAGTTATATAATAAAAAAATTATAGCATTTCTTCAATTTCAACATTATGGAAGATGATATCTTCAAAATAAAACAAAACAAAATCCTCTCACCCTTAAAAAGATATTAGAGCACTTTAGTTTCAGAATTAGTTGGGTTCTGGGTACACAGAATCCAATGTAATTTAAATTCCACGAAGCCTATTTTTGCTTTTAATATTTAATTTGGAATTTCTACCAATTTCAAAACTGAAATAAGTAGACACAAATAAGAGAAGCAATAGATTGCCACAGAAGGGCATGTATGTCACTGGGGAGAAATAATGTCATGTGATCTGAATTCTACAAAACTAAAAATCGAATTAACCCATTTAAATCACAAGTAACAAAAGGCATACAAAAAGTTGGTAAATAAATACATGTTTATTTCTGTCTCAAGCTGTACCACTTTGGACAATCATAAGTGCAAAGTTCTTTCGAAGAATAACAAATAGACATTGAATACTATGAAAAGTTGACTTAGAATGCTTATCTGAGAAAACATCTTCGTGCTGAGAAAGCTTTACTTTTAATTACTTCGTTCCTTTGAATTATTTGACGTAGTACTCATTTTGCTTACAACTCTTACCCTTTAACCTGAAATTATAATATACAGATTTGACGCGGTAGATCAACAGAGGAAGCCATTCTGTGCCTCTCCACTGCTTACCCAAGAACACGGGCGATCACCAAGGAGTGACAGTGAAGGGGCAGGAATGGCGCACAGAGGCAGGATGCGTCCCAGGTCATCACTGAGAGCAGATCCCACGCGCCCGAGCTGCCGCGGTGAAGATGCCTCAGGTGACCCGAGACAGAACCGAGGACAGGGCCGGCTCTGTGTCACCTCGGTCCCTCCACGGCCTCCCCGCCCAGATGTGCTTGGACAGAGTATTGCCTACAGCCTGCTCCACATGCTGCCAGATGTAGGGGATAAAATATTCTAATGTGTTCTCTTCCAAGCAATGAAAAAGTCACACCATCCAGAAGGAAATGGTACGCACACTCTACAATTACTATTGGAGCCAAATCTGTGAGTCACCCAGCTGCCGGCACAAGACAATTTGGCTACTGGAAAATCCTGATTAATGACATTTTTTTAAACCCAGAGTAACAACTTGACCTGCCAAGAATTACCATTTTTTCATCATTTCGCCATTTTTGGCCTTGGTTATCTATTACCTTTCTCAGAGAAAAGGAAGTAAAATGAAAATGGTGTAAGGTGCGTTCACCTCAGGCCAAAATGCGCCTTCCAAGGTGCGCTGGGGCCGGGGTTTAGCGCAGCTTCGCGACCCGGGGGAAGGCTCCTTGGAGAGCCTCCTGGACTCCCTCGGGCTACGCCGAGGTACCGGGTTATTTCCCAACTGCAAGGACAATTAATTCACGGGCTGTTGATGAGATTCCTCCTGACAGGGCGGATTGTCGGGCTCCGCCAGGCTCTGGGACCGGGTCTCTGTCCGCCGCGCCCCAGGCCCGACCTCTCCGGGGGGTACCCCCCTTCGCGTCGCCGGAGCTGCCTCCAGCCTCGAGTCCGGGAAGACGGGAGAAGCGGCGGCGCTTTGGAGAATATTTACAGTTCCCAAACCCCCCACAGCCCGGGCTGGCCGAGTTCATCCACACGAAGGATAAATTCACTGCTGATCGCTTTATCTTTAATCGATAGAAGACCGGGGCCGCCGACAAGTCACGAATTTCCAATTCCAGGCCGTGGCCGGGATCGCCATTCACCGGCGGCGGCGGCGGCGGCGTCGCGCAGGGGCTGGAAGGACCCGGGCTCCAAGCGCGCAGGGCCGGGACCGGGGGCCGCGAGTTTCCGACGCGCATCGCAGACCCGCCGCGCACCCTCGCCCCCGCGTCCGCTCTCCACCTGCGAACCTACGCTGTCCGGGGGCTCCGCCTTCTCGCCGGCGCCCACCTCGCCCAGCTATCTCTCCTCCAGGCCCCTCCCCGGGTTCCCAGGTCCAGCCTGCTCCGAAGCCTCGGGCACCGCACACGCCGCGCGCTGAGGGAGGGCCGGGCGGGGAGAGGCGTCCAGTCCAGCCCAGCCCAGCCCAGCCCAGCCCAGCCCCACCTGGGCGCGCAGGCAGAGGAGCCCGCGTCCGCCGCCCCCCAGCCCTCCGCGCAGGGCTGTAATAATTACATCCTCATTATTTCTCCTGCAATCGTTAGCGAAGGAGCCGGAGACAGCAACAGCCGCTGCCGGGGGAGGCTTAGTTACAAAACCCTGCGCTGGGTAGCGCCTCGCTTAGCAACCACCCCTAAAAAAGACCCCGAGCTCCTCGCTCGCACTTGGAGAGCCGGGCGGCGGCCACCCCCTCGCTGCGCGCACCCTCCACTCCGCCTGGTCTCGGCAGCCGCTGCTGCCCGGCACAAGGGCCCCATCCTGGTCGCCCCCGCCCCCGCGAGCCCCCGTGCGCGCAGCCCAGCCCGGCACCCTTCATTCATTCCCAGTCCCCGTCGGCGTTTCCACCCGGGCTTGGGGGGAGGGGGATGCAGTCTGCTGCCCGCCGCCCCCACTCGCTCGCAGCTGCCCCACCGGAGCTAGGCGCGTAGCCCCTGGCGCGCCGGCACCCCCCAGGCTTTGCCCCCTCCACCCCGGGCAGGCAGAGCGGAGAATTTCACACCTCCGCGGCCCCGTGCGCTCCCGCACCCCCGGAGCCCAGGGTCCCGGCACCCCCGAGCGCGGCCAGGGATGCGCGGAGCCCGGCGAGGAGCGCAACGCGCGACCCCCGAGCACAGGCTGTCCCTGGGGTCCCCAGCGCTCCGGCCCCGGCGGGCGGCACGACCCCCGCTCGCCCCCGCCCCCAACCCTGACGCCCTCGGGGCGTCCCCGCGGGTCCGACACACCGCGCCCTCCCCGCCTCGACGGCTCTCGGAGCCCCGCGCCCGGCTCCCGGCAGCCCCCGGCGGCTCGCACCTTCCTCAGCGCGGACATCCTCGGACGCTCCGGGCTCAGCAGGTGCGGGGCGACATGGCGAAGCGGCCCCTCCTCAGACCGACGGCTCCCGGGGCTCGCGGGTTGGGGTCAGTACGTCCGTCCGCGGTCCGTCCGTCCGTTCGCCGCCGCAGGCGCCGCGCGCTCAGACCGCGCTCGAGCCCGGCGCACGGTCGGTCTTCACGGCCGGCGCCTGCGCACTCGGCGCCCAGGGAGGCACCGGCGCACTGGGGGGCGGCCGGCGCGCGGCTGCATCTGGGGAAGGGCCCGGCTTGGGGAGCGCGCGGGCAGCCCGGCTCCAACTGTTGCGCGGGGCGCGCGGGTCACCCGGGGACTGTGCCGGGCTCCCGGCGGGAAAGCAGCGGCCTCCACCGCGGCGCGCGCAGGCGACGCTCACCGCGCCCGAAAGTTAGCGGGGGACCCGGTCACACCCGTCGCCCCCGGGCAGGGTCAGCCTTTCTGGACCGCTGTTAGAGACGCGCCGGCGCGTTTGTGCGCGGGACTCGCGCTCGGGTTCGAGTCGGCTCGGCGCCCAGGGGGGCTCGCGGGGCAGAGGGGACGCGGGGCGAGGGAGGCGCGGGCGCTTGCGAGGGTCTCACTGCGAGGTGCGGCCGCCGCTTGGGTGCTGGAGGCAGAACCTCCCCCGGTTTCCACTGGCGGGCTACGCTGAGGAAGGTGTGCGGCGGCGGCTTCGCGGGGACCCACCGGGGGGCGCCCCGAGAACCTGGGTCCGGACGCAAGGAGCGCCCTCGGAGGGGGCCCGCCGCCTGGGTTTGCTGTGAGTGGCGTATGGACGACAGAGCCGAGGAAAAGGGAAAATCGATCCGGAGAAGTGGTGTTGACAACCACAGCAGCCGGGAAGATCAGCCACCCTGGCCACGTGTGGACGGACCCTCGCCAGGATCATGGGTTTTCCCTTCCGGGATCGGAACGCGGGAGCTAGACGCGCTGGTATGGGGATCCCTGGGCGGTCACCGACCCTGGGCAAGTCTCTCAGCCCCAGTTTAACATAAACGCAGAAATGGATTTCTGCTTTCCACCTGCATGGCTACGGCATTTAAATGAGGTAAAAGATGCGAAAACAAACCGCATAGAAAGACGGATGGGAGTTAGAATGAAATCAGGTCATCCAAAATATTTGGAATGGACAAACCAATCTTTTCCAGAAATTCCAAGATCTTTAAACAAAAAACAGGCTCTGTAAGAATTCCCCGTATAATTGATCACCAAAATATTCATCAGTTGCAGTTTATTTTCAAGGCAGAGTGCTAAACGACGAGGGGGTAGAAAGGTGAATGGGAGAAAGAAGTCCGGCCGCTGTCCATTTCTTCTAAATGTTTCCCGAATCTATCAGTGGTCTCCACTGTCAAAAAAAAAAAAAAAAAAGGTGCATTCAGCGCCCAAACCTCAACTAGGGAGAGATTCCAGGCCAATTTATTTTCATTTCACAATTTACTTTCCCTTTGCTTTCCTCCCCTGCATTTCGTCCCCATCCCTTCACGTTTTTTAAAAATATATATATATATTATTTCATGCAACCGCAACAAGAAAATCACACAAATGTACTGACGGCCTCTCCTGTGTTCTCAGCGTGTGAGCAGCACAGAAAACCACGGTTGCCGCCCCATGAAGCCTTCAGTCTAGAGAGGGATCCGCCCAGAAGTTACCCAAGGAACAGACAATTACAAGTTATAATTCTCTGAAGGAAACATATGGAGTGTTATTGGTGAATGTGAAAAGGGCAACAAATACAGTTTGTGACATCAGAAAAGAACTTTTTGAGGACGTCGTTATTAAATCTCCCCCTGGGTTCTCCCACAAGCAGGTTTTGAGGTGTGGATTTGGGTGCAGGTAGTTCATTTGGGAGATCGATCCCAGGAAACTAGAGAGAGGAAGTAGGGAGAGAGAGGCAGGGCAGGAGAGGACGTCCCAGAGGCTGCGGTGACGCTGGGCTGCTCCTGTGGCCACCGGGGCCCCGTCCTGCTGGGGTGCTCTAACAGGAGCAGCTTGGAGTGCACGTCAGCTTAGGAAGGCTGGACAGCTTTTCAGCTTCTAGGTCCCAGTGACTGAGGGCTGCTCCTCACCCACACACCCCACTCCCCAAGTTGAGCACCTCCCAAAGCTTCAAAGAAAGTCCAGAGGCCAACCAGCAGGGGAGTGCACGGGGACCTGAGAGCACATTGAGGGTGGCATCAGAGGTGGCCTCTGCCATGGCCCTGGGAACAGGATTTAGGGAGATAAGAGCAGGCCTGAAGACCTTGGGAGATAGAAGGACTTGATGCCTTTTTTTTTTTTTTTTTGACGGAGTCTCACTCTGTCACTAGGCTGGAGTGCAGTGGCACTATCTCAGGTCACTGAAACCTCTGACTCCCTGGTTCAAGCGATTCTCCTGCCTCAACCTCCCGAGTAGCTGGATTACAGGTGCACACCACCATGCCCTGCTATTATTATTATTATTATTATTATTATTATTATTATCATTATTATTATTATTATTTGTATTTGTATTTTTAGTAGAGGCGGGGTTTCACCATGTTGGCCAGGATGGTCTCGATCTCCTGACCTCGTGATCCACCCGCCTCGGCCTCGCAAAGTGCTGGGAGTACAGGCGTGAGCCACTGTACCTGGCCTTTTTTCTTTTCTAAGACAGGGTCTCACTCCTGTTGTCCAGGCTTGAGTACAGTGGTGCTGTCACGGCTCACTGCAGCCTCAACTTCCCTGACTCAGGTGATTCTCCCACCTCAGCTTTCTGAGTAGCTGAGACTACAGGTATGTGCCACCATGCCTGGCTAACTTTTTGTATTTTTAGTAGACACAGGGGCTTGTTATGTTGCCCAGACTAATCTCCAACTCCCATGCTCAAGCGATCCTCCTGCCTCCGCCTCCCAAAGTGCTAAGATGACAGGCATGAGCCACCATGCCTGGCCACATTTTCGTTTAACTGAACAGTCAGAATAACTGCAACTGAGGGAGAAAAGGACCACATGATTGTGACGGGAGAAAAACTCAGGGGTCTTTCAGGACATTTTAAGGGCTTTGATTTGTATCCTCTATACAATGAATTATGATGTAGGATTTTGAGCAAGGCAGAGATTTTCTTCATAGACAATCCTGTCATTTGCAGAGAAAACTTCTATTTCTCCCTTCCCAATCTGTATACCTTGTATTTCCTTTTCTTGTCTCATTGCATTGGCCAGGAATTGCAGTGTAACAGTGAGATGCAGTGGCAAGAGGGGGGGGCCTTGCCTTCTTCCTGATCTTAGTGGGAAAGGCTTCTAGTTTCTCACCATTTAGTATGCTGTTAGCTCTAGGGTTTTTGTAGGTGTCCCTTATCAAACTGAAGAAGTTACCCTCTAATCATAGTTGGCTGAGGGTGTTTCGGTTTTAAATCATGAATGGGTGTTGGATTTTGTCAAATGCTTTGTCTGCATCTAATGATGTGATTGTGTGGTTTTTCTTCCCTATCCTGTTGCTGGATGGTCCACCTTCAGTGATTTTTGAATGGCAGTGAGGTTTTAAAATGACCATTTTGGCTGCTATAAGAAGAAATGTCGGTAGGATGGGAGTGAGGAACAAGAGTGGAATTGAGATCATTTTAAAAATGCTCGGAGAAATCCTGGGATTTCAGAGATCAACTTAAAAAAGGCTGGAGAAATCCTAGTGACAAATGATGAAAACACAAACTCAGCAGTGGAAGTAAGACACGTTGCAAGTAGAATGCGCTTGATGTGATTTTTCTGGATGGGTTATTCAGGAAGAGAGGAAGAGGAGAGTCACCAATGACCCCCAAGTTTGGCCCAGCAATTGGATGACACTTCTGGGAGGCCTTAGTGTGTTACATGCTTACTGAGAACTGTGTGTTGGAGCTGGGGACATGGATGCCTTGGGGACTTTGTCAGGAGCAGGTGCAGTGGAGGGGTGGAGAGAAAAGCTGGACGGGGTCACAGAGTCCATGGAAGACGTCAAAGTGGAGACGGGCTTTGTAATCAACTCTTTCCGCCAGTTTGAGTGTGGGAGAGATTGAAGAAACAGGGCTGGAGAAAAATACATTATTTCCTGGGAGGATTTTGTTATGGGGGCGTCCACAGTGGGCTTGAGTGCTGGTGAGAATGATGAAGTGGAGAACAAGTTCAAGATGCAGCCTCATTACAGGGATTATTTCCCCTCCTGCATCACTCATTTTCAACAGTAATTTGATCAGGTCAAATTATCTCTCTCTCTCTCTCTCTCTCTCTCTCTCTCTCTCTCTCTCTCTCTGTCTGTGTGTGTGTGTGTATGTGTTCTGTCTTCAAAAACCCTCCAGTTATTGCCCCATTTGCATGGTCCCGCCAGAGAATGGTGTACAGTCAATGTCTAACTTTTCCTCGAAATTCTATGAATTTCCATCAAGTTTCTGCTTCTACCACTTCAACAAAATTCCTGTAACCAAGATCCCTGATGGCCTCTGCCCTTTACAAATGCAACCGTACATCACTGGTCCTCCTCTTGCTTCATCCACATCATTGGAGACCAGTGGTTCGTTCTTTGACTTGGCTTCAGGACCTTCCTTTTCTCCCTGGCCACCCTTCATGTACCACAGCTTGGGCCCCCTCATCTCCCCACCTCTCAAAGGCCAGAGCCCCTCGGGGCTTATTCCTTGGACCACTTTCTAAAGTTCACGCCTGCTCCCTTCATGACCTCATATGCTTACTCATCTTATGAGCACCTCAAACTTGACCTGTCTAAAACTGCACACTACCACCAAACGAAGATCCCCAGAAGGCTCTCCACCTCCTCAGTGCAACTCCAGCCTTCCAGTTTCCAAACGAAAAATTTACAGCCATTCTACATTTCTCCTTTTCTGTCACAGCCCAGTTTGATCAATCGGAAAATCTCTTTGGCTTTACCTTAAAACATGTCCACAATCCAACTAGCCCCCCCACCCAGAACCTCCAGTGCCACCACTTGGATGTGAGCTGTCAGCATCTCTTATTGCAGCAGATGAAATCTCCACACTTCCTTCCATGCAACTCTAGTCATCACAACGCTAAATGACTTCTTTAAAATGTACATCAGGCCATGCACAGTGGCTCATGCATGTAATCCCACACATTGGGAGGCTGAGGTGGGAGGATTGCTGGAGGCCAGGAGCTGGAGGCTGTAGTGAGCTGTGATGGCACCACTGCACTCCAGCCTGGGCCAGAGTGAGACCCTGTCTACCCCAAAAAGAAAGAAAATGCATCAGATCATTTCACCCCTTTGCTCTACATCGTGTAACAACTTTCCACCCTGCTTCTTGGAACATGCAAAGTTATCAGGCTCCCTGCAGACCCTGCCTGGGTCTGGGTCTCCTTTCCTCCTGATCTGAGCTCCCCTTATCCTGCCCTTGCTTCTGGTCCCCAAACTCAAACAGGGCAGCCGTTCTCCTGGGACATCGTTTCCCTCCTGTGGGCTCTCTTTCCCTGGGCACCCCCAGTCTTGCTCCCTCACCTACCTCAAGCCCGCGCCCATCACTCTACAGTTAGGCCCTACCAGCTTCATTTTCCTCCAAAACACCCATCTCCGTGGGTTCCTCTCCTGAGACAGCCCACATGAGGAACAGCGCCTGGCACACACCTGGGAAATGTTTTGGAAGAAACGAATTCAAGGAGGAGGGTCCTGAGGGGGTGGAGCGGGAGGGCAGAGGCCCTTGGAGCTGGACAGGGAGACAAGAAGGGGTCTGGCAAGCCGGGGTGACGTGGGGGCCGCTGCCCTGACCACTCCCTGTGTCCCACAGGTGCCTGGGGGCCAGGGACACCGCCCTGGCCATGCCCTGTGTCCAGCAGGTGCCTGGGGGTTGGGGTCACCGCCCTGGCCACTCATGTGTCCAGCAGGTGTCTGGGGACCGGCTGGCCATTCCCTGTATCCTGTAGGTGCCTGGGGGCCAGGGACACCGCCCTGGCCATTCCTTGTATCCTGCAGGTGCCTGGGGGCCGGGGACACCGCCCTGCCCACTCCTTGTATCCAGCAGGTGCCTAGGGGCTAGGGGTCACCGCCCTGGCCACTCCCTATATCCTCCAGGTGCCTGGGGGCTGGGGTCACAGCCAGGGCCACTATCCGTGTCTCGCAGGTGCCCGGGGACCGGGGACACCGCCCTAGCCACTCCCTGTATCCTGCAGGTGCCTTGGGGCCGGGGGCACTGCCCTGGCCATTCCCTGTGTCCGGCGGGTGCCTGGGGGCGAAGCGGGGACTGGGGATCCGCAGGTGCACCCGTGGGGTTGGGGGTGGGCGCCTCTCCTCTGGGGCCCTCCGTTCCCCTCTTCTCCACAACGCCCTCCCTAGCGTTCGCCCCCAGAGTTCCGCCACCGCGTAGAGCAGTCGCCGCCAGCGCTCTCACAGCGTCCTCAGGTCCCCAAGAGCCCGCACCGCCGCCCCCGCAGCCCTCCCTCCGCGCATGCTCCACAGCGGGGCTCCCAGAGGCGGGTCTGGAGCCTCGCGACACGCCTACAGACTCGATATCAGCCAATCTACGGCCGTGATGTAGTTGACTGACCGCCCGTGGCGGGGTCCCGTATTCGGATTGGGCATTCCTGCTGTTGTGGGCGGACCCAGGAGGGCGGAACCCGGAAGGCACGGCGCTCAGCTCAGGACCGCGCGCCGTGGTCTGAGGTCCGCGGCAGGGTCCCGCATGGCGGCGCACAGGAAGCACGGTAGGTGGGTGCGGTGCGGAGGCCTGCCCAGACCCCAGACCCGGCTCTCGGCTCAGACCGCGGTGTTGACTCGGGACCCCGACCCCGGCCCCTTTCCAGGCCCCACCCCAAACCCAGACCGACTCCCCACCTCCACCCCAGTCCCTACCCATCCCCCGCTCTTACCCCGGACCGCGGCCCACCCCTCGCCCGTGTTGTTGCTTGCATGGCTGCTGGTCGGGCCGGCCCTGCCAGGCCCCACCTGGTGTCTGGGGTCCTGGGCGGAGGCGAGCCCAGCCAGGGATTCGTGTTCTTAGCAGAGCCCCTGTTGGTGAGTGAGTAGGAGCCGCTCAGCTCTTCAGAGGGGTCCTAGCCCAGGGCTCCGGGGTGGGGCTGCAGCCGGCTCCGGCAGCCTCACCGAAAAGTACAGCAGAACCTCCCAGAGCCACTGTGTCCTCATCTGAGAGACGGAGGTCATGGTGTTTACCTTCAGTGGACCTAAGGTGTGGGGCGCATCCTAGTGCTTATTAAATTCTGTGATAGCATTAGTACCAAAGACAGGAGGAGAATAAATAGAATTGGTTAACCTGGCCGTGCCTTAGAACGGAAGTGTTAGAAAATAAAGCGTGCTCCTGCTTCCTGCAAACCCCAGCTCATTACCCTCACCGTGTAATCATCATCATAATGAAAAGAGTGGCGGTTTTTGACATGAATCTCGTGTTACTTGGATTAATTCAGGCGCTGATGAATTTTTTTCCTTCTCTATGTTTAAAACTGATAATCATGTTTTTCCCTTTGAAATGAAAAGATAATGGCAAACTATAGTTATAAAACAATTGCTTAAAAAGAAAAAATTTCTCAGTGAGGCAGAATGTGGAGAAAAATATGGTCTCAAGTCTTCCTTTTCAGGGACACACTGCACGTGGGCTTCCCCCTCTCCTTCAGGACCAGGGAATTGTCACCTGATCAGCTCACAGGTTAAAAATGACCTAAGAGTTTTTAAGCAGTCACATGCTAGGCTCTAAAATGGACATTCACGTATGTTAATGAGCACCAGAAATACCTTGTTCATGACCCTCTCCTGGAAGCAGGGCTGGCAGGCTGTGAATTCAGTGTCGAGGTTCTTAGGAGCAGACCTGACGGTCAGCTGCCTGCAAAGCTGTGCCTGCCTTCTTGGTGGGGGGCTTCTTGCTACTGCAGGTTTTCTCCTTGTTTTAAACCACAACACACTCTTCTCTTACATTCCTTCAAATGTTTGCACTCTTCTAAGCCTGGAATAAATGCTCTTCTCTATGCAAGAAATTATTATAGCATCTGTAATGTACCTAATCAACTTAAAAAAAAAACCTTTCTCCATTCACCAAATTAAAGTGAATGAAAGCTGTTAATTGTTTTAGTCATTCACTAATCACCTTCCCTCGAAACAGCCTTTTTTTCCTATTGGATATGTGACAGAATGGTCAAGTAAATTTACGTTGTTTAAGGACATTGTGGTTGGAAGGATAGATTAATAAATCCCAAAAGTTTATAAAATGTAGGTGGGAAAGAAAATATTAGTTTTCTGTGTGTCTTCCTCAAGATCACCTGAAGAGCCCATCGGCTGAGTGGCACTTAGGCTCTGAGAGGCACTGAAGGGAGGATTTAGCTGGAATAAAACTTCCCAGCATTTGTGACCTGATGGAGCAGGAAACTGGAGTGTGTGTCTTCTTCAGAGCATTTCCCTTCTGCGTGGCTTGCAACGAGTGAAGTTAGGGGAAGGTGCCGCAGGAGGAGGGGATGGAGCTTGGCGTGTCCCCTTGCAGGGATGTCTGTTTTCCCAAGGTCCAGCTCAGGGTCATGGGGTGGTTGCAGGTGGGGGTTGGGCGCTGTTGTTGATGGTGGGAGAGGAGGCAGGTGCCACAAGACGCAGGTGTGCCTCTCCTGGAGCAGACCCCACACAGAACTGACTTGGCGTCGTTTATTCACCGCCGGATGTTGGCGGAGCATCTGCTGAGTGTGGCAGAGCCCCTCAGGCCCTGGCTGCGGCAGCGAATCAGGCACGGTATCCCTCCCTCCCCGAGCTAAGTGAAGCTCTGCTGTGCTTTGAGGCTGTGCTTGGGTTTAGGGCAGTGCTTGCTGACAGAGGACACATCCAGGGGCCCATACTCTCCCCTGCCTGGCCCTGGCACAGACCAAGAAACATGAGGTGGAAAGGTTGGCAGTCAGGCTAAACAGTGATTCTAAGCATTTTTTTTTTCCTGGAAGTAGATTGTTTCTGCTAGGCAATATAATCTGCTAATGTGACAGTTTCCCTGTAACAATGTGTAGCAAAACTCTGCAGGATTAATGAGAAGAATGTATTGCCTTTGAAGCAGCACCACTTGAGTAAAAATTCCTCAAATGTGCTCTATGTTATGCTAGTGTAAGTATAGCACCGGAGGATATTTCTTGGGCCTACTTTGCAAGCCTCTGAGAGGTGCTGTGCAGCTCCGACCATGAACTGCTCTCCTAATTGAAGAGGGTCCCAGGAAGGGGAAGGGCACTATGGCCTCCATTCTACCCAGGGAGATTGGGTGAATATCTGGCATGTAATTAAGTGCTAGCTCAGGTCGGGCTGTTTCTGGCATATAGGGTAGCCAGCGGTCAGGGGAGCCTGGAGTGGGGTTGCAGTGGACTGGGGAGGCCCCCAGTGTCACAGATCTCCCAGGGACTGCGTGCTCCTCGAGGAAGGGGCCTGCTGCGATGGGTGAGGACCTTAGGAGCTGCCCGGGTGACTCCTGGAAGGAGTGACTGCATCTGGCGTTGACCAGGTTGAGCCTTGCTGCCTCCTCCTCCCTGGACGGTTCCCAGTGCCTGTCAGGACATCTCGTGTTGGTGAGCAGAGCCATACAGGACTTGCTCCTTGCTTCCTTCCTGAAACGCTTACTGTGTCCCTGCTGCCTGGGCGGAGTCTTGCTGTTGGGCTGGCGGAGCCTCCTCCCTGGTGGTTGGTCATTGTGAGGGATTTGGCTCTGGCCCTCTCCCTGACTCCATGTGTGCTTCAGGGACATTTCCGGAGGAGGCAAAGCTTGTGTGGGGTTTGCTTGGCAGAGACGATCCTCAGATGCTGGGGTGAGGACCACAGCCTCATGGAGGCGGGAGCCCCGTCCCAGGGCCCAGCCCTGAGCAGTCAGAGGAGTGCCAGGCTGTCCGGCCGCTCCCTGTCTCCCTGCATGAGGCCTGTCCTCACCGCCTGCTGCTGTGTGTGTGGTGGGAGGATGCGCCCCTGGATTTAAGCAGAGTCCCTGCCCCACAGTGCCCCCTGCATTCGTCTCACTGCACCCTGAGGCCAGTCCTTTGACTCCTTGTCCTGCAGTTTCCCATCAAGGTGGTCCAGTGGTGCCAGCCGCTCGCGTCAAGGAGAGAGCTCCAAGGGCACCATGCTGCTGGCCCGGCCTTGCTGGCCCGGCTGGGCCTTCTGTAGGGAAGGCCACAGAGCCCTGTCCCAGAGGCCTCCTCCTGGTAGGCACCCAGCCTGGTGTCAGCCTGGGGAACATGTGCTGGAGCGCAGGATGCTTGGATGCTTTTTAATAAGAATCCATTCTTGCTGTGACTGCTGCACGCACAGGACAGCTTCACTCGCCCTTGCAGGTGCATCCTCCAGGGCCAAGGGGTCTGCAGCAGGCAGGCGGCCTCTGTCTTCCTGAGACTCCTCAGATGAAGTTGGAGCTGCCAGTGCCTTGCTGTGAGCAGTCACACTTCCTGTTCACCATCTCCCTGTCATCTTCTGGTTTCTCCTGCACCTCAGGGAGTGGATTGCCCCAACTTCACACGCCAGGAATCGCTGGCGCTGTCCACGGTGCTGGCACTGGTGCCAGTTCCTGCAGCTCTGGTAGTCCGGGAGAGATGTCTGTGTGTAGGTGTGGGTCTGTGAGCTTGTGTGTGCATATTGTCAATGTGCATGCATGTATGTGTGCCGCTGTTCCTATGTGTGCACGTGTCTGTGTATGCCTTTGTGCACACGTGTCTGGTGTATGTGTGCATGCATGTCTGTGTGCATCTGTGCAGGTGTGTGTGGTGTGTATCTGTGCATGCATGTGTGTGCCTTTGTGGTGTGCGTGTGTGTATGTGTATGTGTACGTGTGTGCATGTGTATGTGCCTGAGTGGTGTATGTGTGTGCATGCATGTGTGTGCCTGTGTGGTGTGCGTGTGTGTATGTGTATGTGTACGTGTGTGCATGTGTATGTGCCTGTGTGGTGTATGTATGTGTGTTTTGCATGTGGTCTGTGTGTACATGCATGTCTGGGATGTGTGTGTACATGTGTGTGCATGTGTATCTGTGTACATACGTATGTGCCTGTGTGGTGTCTGTGTCTGTGCATGTGTGGTGTGTGTCCATGTGTCCATGTTCATGTATGTGTGTATGTGTACATGTGTCTGTGTGTGGTGTGCGTGTACATGCATATCTGTTTGCCTGTGTGTGCCTGTGTGTGTACATGTGTGTGCCTGTGTATGATGTGCCTGTGTACACGTCTGTGTGTGGCACTTGTGTACATGTGTGTCTGTGTGTTCACCTGTGTCTATGTGCATGCATGTGTGCCTGTGTGTGTATGTGTGTGCGCCTGTGTGTCTTGTGCCTGTGTACACGTGTCTGTGTGTGGTGTGTGTGTACATGAGTGTCTGGCTGTTTGCCTATGTATATGTGCATGCATGTGTGCCTGTGTGTGTATGTGTGTGCACCTGTGTGTTGTGTGCCTGTGTACACGTGTCTGCCTGTGGCATGGGTGTACATGTGTGTCTGTGTGTTTTCCTGTGTGTCTATGCATGCATGTGCGCCTGTGTATGCATGTGCGCCTGTGTGTTGTGTGCCTGCATACACGTGTCTGCGTGTGGCGTGTTTGTACATGCGTGTCTGTGTGTGTCCTTGTGTGGTGTGTGCATCTCCCAGCTGTACCCTGCAACTTGCCTGTGATACCTGCCTCTCCCTTGGAGTCCCAGAGCTGAAGATGCTGGCTCAGATTTGTTTCCATTGGAAAGAGGCCCCTTTTTCTTCTTACAGCATGGCGTTGGTCTGGTTGGGTGCCTGGTGACTCTGTTGGGGCCGACTTTCATTCTGGCCCCGTGTGTGGGACTGTGTGCAGAACTGGACAGGAGTCATTGCTGTGCTGCAGGAGAAGTGGGGCTGTGTTCATTGACACATGTGGCTTTGACATTTTCTACTCAGATGTGGTAGAATCCTTCCTCCAGAACAGGAGTTGGCACCTCTTTTCCCATCTTCAAGGAAGGACAACGTGCTCAGGAGCGCTTCCCAAGTGAATGACTGAATGAATGAACGAAGGAGGGGAGAGAAGAAGGAAGGAATCAGCCTCATGGAACAGGGAGGTTTAGAGAATCCTGGCAAAGGAAGAGGCGCCGTGCCAGCCAGGTCCTGCGGGAGTGTTGGTGCATGGTGAGGTTGGGGGGTGAGGGTCGGCCCCAGCAGGGAAGGGCAGGTGCAGGGATGGCAAGGCCAGAGCACGTGGGGATGAAGAGATGCGGTACTGCGACGGCTGGAGGAGGGTTGCAGGAGCTGCTCAGACATGGGGGCAGCTGCAGTCTCGGCTGCTTGCAGGTTGGGAGAGAGTCGTGCTTGGTGTACAGCTGGAGAGGGAAGTGGGCCGAGGAGGTGGTGGATGCCCAATGTGCCCATCCCTGACGGCTGGCGCCTCAGTGCACAGCAGGCCTAGGTCTCGATGGGGATGGCCACCGAGGTCAGTCCTGCTGGGCTGCTGCCTCAGAGCTCACTCTACTAATGCTCAGGTGGCTCATCTGTAAAGTGGGCGGCAGCACCGTGAGGACCCAGCCAGGTGACCGATCACATGCAAGGTTCTGATGGAGTCACAAGCTGGTCACTGCCGCTGGTCCTGTCCGCTGGGTGCAGTAGACACGGAGGTAGGGGACCCTTGTGCCTGTGAGAACAGAGCAGACAGGAAGCCGGAGAGGACAGCAGGCACGGAAGCCGGAGGGGACAGCAGGCACGGAAGCCGGAGGGGACAGCAGACAGGAAGCCGGAGGGGTCAGCAGGCACGGAGGCTGGAGGGGACAGCAGACAAGAAGCCAGAGAGGACAGCAGACAGGAAGCCGGAGGGGACAGCAGGTACAGAAGCCGGAGGGGTCAGCAGGTGAGCAGGCATCACTGCGTCAGGGTGTGGGACGAGAAACCACAGCACCCGAAAAGGACCACATGGTCCTTCGTGGCTGGCGCAGGGAAGAAGTGGGGTCCAGGAGGCCACAATGGGGCAGCCGTGGCTCCCTCGTGGTCCGGGCCAGGCGGCGTGGGTGCAGGAGGTACAGCTGCTTCCCGGGTTCTGGGTTCCACATCTTTGATAGCGTTCCTCAGTGAGCGTAACCTGCCCGTGCAAACAACACGGGGCTTGTCGGTGTGGAATCCCTTATGGGTTGCAAGTTCTTTGGGCTGAATTCAGGACCTATCTAAGGAAAAAGCCAATGTTTAATGAAAGTGGAAAAAATAACAATATTGGAGTAAAAGGTGTAGTTTATCTGGTGTCTCCTGATTTTCATAAAGCAGCTTGCTGAACGGCCTTCCCAATGACCTCTCAGCGTGTTTTAGCCCAGCCTTGTTTTGGTGAGAAACTGACTCCGAGAACTGAGTGGGCTGCTCTGAGGTCCCGCCCCCGTCGGGGCAGTGCCGGCCTCTCCGGAAGCCCCTGGGCTGCTCGCATCCCGCTGGGTGTGTTTACCAGTGCTTAATGAAAACTATTGCAGCCGCCCGTGAAGGTAAGGTGTTTGTGAACGCTTCGTGATACGACAAATGCTGGTTAAAAAACTACAAGGAGAAACTCTGGGCAAAGTTTGCGTGGAATATTTTCTTTCTTCTCCTTTTTTATTTGTAGAGATCGGATCTCACTATGTTGTCCGGGCTGGTTCTCCAGTAATCCTCCTGACGCAGCATCCTGAGCAGCTGGCCTGCAGGTGCCCGGCTTTCTTCTTTGTTGAAGGGTTAGAGTTCCAGTAGAAAATGATCATTTGGTGTATTTTCACCTCCTACGTGAGGATCCCATGTCAGATCGGTCATGGCGTGAGGTTCTGGTGATGTCCCATTTGAGGATTATTTCTGGTTTGGTGTCGAGCACTTGTTTTTTGTTTTTTCTTTTTGATATTTCAGAAAGCTTGCCCACTTCTGCTTAAGTATTAGCCAATTATTTTTCCATTTGTCATTCTGTTACGAAACTCCTCAAGAATCTACTACTCATTGAATTAACATACTGAGCTTTTCTTTCTTGTGAAGTGATGTAATTCTATTACCAGTTTATTCCTTTATTTCTAGATTATAGTCAAAGGCTAAATACCTTGCCTCATTATAGGGATAAAATGAAAAAAAAATCCCACAGTGATTATCATTTTAAAGAAAGCTGTGGCTGGGCCAGCATATTTTCAGCAGGCATTTAACTTAGTTTTTACTGAAAAAAGAAAATTGAAACAATCAGATTTCCAGAAAATACAATAACCCTAATAAATGTTAAATTTAAAATGCCTATTACAATGAGACAGGCAGATGTAGGATGAAAAAGAGATCAGCTAGAGCTGCTGTTCACTGAGAGAGCAGAATTTGGTATTTTCTCTAAACTGATGAAATAATGTGGTTTGTGTGTGTTTTGTGGTTTTAGTGGAAATGTTTTGAGAGATTTCTCTAATATGACAGGTGAAGGAGGCAGGGAGCAAGCACCTCCAAGCTGGCCATGGTGGAAATTTCTACTAATGATTATTTCTTGTTTGAAAATCTAATCACTTTTCTGTTTGTAAGTCTATTAAGTGGAAACTAAAAAGGAATGTTATAAACTGATTTTGTTCTCTGTGAGTGTTAGTCTGTTCTGCATTGCTGTAAAGGAATGTCGGAGGCCGGGTTATTTATAAAGAAAAGAGGTTTGCTGGGCTCACGGTTCTGCAGGCTGTACAGGGAGCATGGCGCCAGCACCCATTTCTGGTGAGGCCCCGTCGGGAAGCTTCCACTCTTGGGGAAGGCAGAGGGGAGCCAGCGTCCTATGGTGAGGGAGGGAGAGCGGGAGAAGGTGGAGGTCCCGGCCTTTTAAGTACCCAGATCTCCAAGAGCTCATCACCATGAGGTGGGCACCAAGCCATTCCCACGGGATCTGCCCCATGGCCCAGACACCTCCCAGTAGGCCCACCTTCAACACTGGAGCTCACATGTCACCATGGGATTTGGAGGGGACACATCCAAACCAAGTCAGTATGTTTTTCTCCTGCAGTGGCTTTACATTGTAAAGTCACTCGTGAATATTTGTGGTCTCTCTTATTTTAATGAATTCCTGTAAGCATGTGGTCCTATCGGTTTTACAGCTTCTCCTGAGCAGCCACATTTTGAAATAGGTCCTTTTGAACTGATCTCATTCTTCACATTCCCAAATAAGCTGTACACGTATTTTCTCTGAAAGTCACACTTTTCCAACAGACACCAGTTTATAAGGGTGATAGCAAAAGTTTTGAAATTTTAGAGAATCACGAATGATCATTATTTTAATCTCTTCCAGCACCAGGAGTCGCATACCCAACTGTTAGATTTTAAATTCAGCAACTGCATTTAGGAAGAGTTTAGAATTGAATAGGTTCACTTCCAGTGGTCAAACTTTGTTTCTTTGTGAGCTACATATATTTACAGTTTTTCCTAAGTGTGTAATTTCCATAGAACACTTTACTGAAAGATTTTATTGGTATTTGGCTGTGTCTTTTATTTGAAATAGCAAGTGTAGGCAGCAGTCCTTTCTGAGAATTATACCGAAGTGACTTAATTCCCCTGTGAAAGGGACTCATTTCTGCTGGGTGTTGCGGCATGTGAATTTCAGACGGGGTGTTTTTTCTGGGCCTTGGCCTTTTGTTGTTGTGTCTCTCTTTTTCTCGGTGCTGATTGCTTGGCCTGCTTCGTCATTTATTTGTTTTCCTGCAGGTTTTTTTTTTCGATTGGCATTAAACACTCCGTCCTCTGCCTTTTTATTTTCCGGTGATTGCTTTTTGATGGGCACTAGAGTTTCAAGTTAAAACTTGCTCTTGCTGCTGGAAGGGGAGCACGTTGATGAGGTGTGGGAAGGAGAATGGAACCAGCCTCAGGCTTCTGACAGACACGGAGTCGTCGTGACTGCAAGGCATTTTCATTTGGGCCATGCAGCATCGGGGGCTCCGGGAGCTCCTGCTGCACCAGCTGGTCCAGCTCTGTTTTTGTGGGTTCCTTTTGTTTTCAACACATTGTGAATTAAACAGAAAAGAGGCTTTTAACCTCTAACTTGATTTTTGTCAGCCTCTATCTAGAGCTCATAAGCGTACACACACTTAGGTAAAAACACATTGGATCAAAAACGAGCATTTCAACAAACCAAAAATGACAAATGCTTCACTGTGTCCTGGTTATTCTGGAGGGAAAAAACCTTTCGTTTATGTTCTGCTTTTGGTATTAGTCGCGAAGTAGAGCTGGCCCGTTGGAAGACAGGCTGTGTTTACAGAATCGTGTCCATATCTGCAGGAAACCACCAGCAGTCCGTGGGGTCCTTGTGTCATTCCTCTGACGGTTCCAAGAACCAGCAAGGGCATCAGTGCCATGCAGTGTGGTTTTGGTCTAAAACAGCTGATTATTTCTGTGTAAATAAACAGTGTGAGCACTGGTGGTAAAGGCCCTGAGTGCCTGGGCCAGGTGTGTGGGGGCCGCACGCTCGGCGCTTGTCAGCTCAGATGCTAAACCCAAGTGGCGCCGTGTCCGTGAGGTCTCTCCCAGCCCCAACCTCCATGCTCTCATCTCTGGGGCTGGGAGGAAGTGAAGCTCGTCTGTGAATCTGCCAGCAATATTAGCTGGTGGAAAGTAATTATTAATATTCAATTTTGCATTTTAAACTTTGCTCTTTTAAAAACTGATTTTAAAAAGTTAAAATTATATTTTTTAAAAAATACTTTATTATTTCTATTTTAGCAGCTGTAAATATTTAGACATATTATTTGTCAGCAAAGTTATTTTTAGATACCTGGATATTTGTATTAAACTGAGTTAAAATTTATTATAATTCTTGTTGAAGAAAAAATCTCCCGCTTTATAATGAGATATCCATTTTGACATCTATTTGAGATCATCTGTTTTTGTGCCTGTTTACAGGACACTTTATGAGTAATTCATGGGTCATGGATAATATGACACAAAACCAGCCTTTGCCAATATTTAATATCAAAATCATGCTGTAACTCCTGTGAGTGAAGCATTGTGCGGGACGTGCTCGTCTTTTCTGTGACAAGGCTTACCAGAAGTAGCAGGGGTCAGAGTGGCTTCAGGCTCATTCCAGCGAAGGAGCAGATACGGTGACCTCCAGGAGTGTGTGGGCCACTGGGAAAGACGTTTTCCTTCACTAGGTTCTAGAACACCCATGCAACATGGAGCCCCTTCAGCCATAGGGATTCATGATACTTAAACCAGTTTAGCTTAGGCTGCTGAAAGGTTTTCTTTTTGCTTTAGTTTATTTTGACGACCGTGCTCAAGTTTGAATTTGAAAAGGGACATTGTCTTTCCCGTGGCTGTAAACTGTACAGACCTTTATGTGTTGACCGTCGTGAATTAGCACATCCAAATCCCTACGGCCTTCTTCCCACTCCCACCCTCCATATGAAAACTCGGGATTTAAACGTTAAGGACTAAAATTGTATACTAAAATTGTATTGTTTGCTTAAGATTTTTAAGCAGCCTGTTTTCCTGCATTCTTAAGTAGTTGCATGCTCTTCCTGGCATCCTGATTATCCCAGTTATCAGCTTTGTTATCCTGTGTGTCTGTGGCTGACACTGGCGCGGTGCCAGCATGCGTCCTCGTCCTTCATCGTGGGTACCTCAGCGTTCTGCCATCGGTCATGTCCGTGGGTGACGCTGGCGTGGGGCAGGTGTGTTTCCTCGTCCTTCCTCGTGGGCACCTCGGCGTCCTGCCGTTGGTATGTCTGCGCGGCCTGCATTTGCCTCTCAGAGGTCTCATTTGTCTTTGAGGGTGTCCAGGACATTCCTCTTCCTCCAAGTCCTCTTTTGTGCAGAGCAGTCAGTGATTTTCAAGGACTGACATGATGAGATTTTGTGTTCAGAAGACAAGAGGAGCAAGGTGCACGTCTAGGGCCGCGTTCTGCTTTCTAAATGTTGGTCTTCTTGGAGAAGGGGCTGGTTCCAGGCCTAGGCAGAGAAAATACAAGATGAGCCTGCGGTACCTTGTAGGGCCTTGTGTGCTCATGGGAGGGCCGGGTGGGCTGGAGGGCACCAGGTCCATGCTGGAGGGCGCTGGGTCCACACTGCGGTGGACCCTGTGGCCAGTGCTGGGACTATTTGAGCAACAAAGTATATCCGGACAGTACAGGGTGATGGTCCTTGGAACGAATGAAACATCTACGAGTCCTTAAAGTATTAAATAGCACAAAGGTAATAATTCAATACATGTGCAAGTGTGGGCACTTCAGTACAAAATTCCACGTGATAAACATGGAAGGAGTGAGGAAGGAAAGCCACTGAGGAGCCCACAGCGACGTCTGCCACCGCCAGGACCCACCAGCGGATGCCAGAATTAGTGGGTGAGATTGAGGAGGAAAAGGATCTGGTCCCGCGGTGTCTCCTCCACAGTGTTTGTTGGTTATGAAGGAAAGAGAGTCGCTTGGCAGGGAGAAACCCAGCAGACCTCACAGCACCTGCGGGCGACCGCGGGCGTCAGCTGAGAGAAGCATCTCAGCCAGATGTGGGCACCAGCGCCCATCTGCAGTTCTGCAGAAGTGAATGACCTCAGTGTCACCCTGAGAACACTGGACCCAAGTTACTGCAGTTCCAAAAAATAACTGCCCCAAGAGATGTCATGATGGTGGAGTACAAGGAAAATGGGAGAAAAGTGAGGCATGGAGGGTGGATGGGGCAGGATCGGAGCCTGGTCGATGTGGGAGCCCGCTGTTGGATGACGGCTCAAACAGCCAGGGCTGGGGTGGGGCAGAAACCCAAGTTTTCACGGTTGAAACGGCCTCCCTGAGCCTCGCCAGGCCTGGGGCTTTCGTGTGGCAAAGCCCCGAGGGTCGGGCTCTCAGCCCAGGCAGTGGCCCCAGGGCCTGGGCTCCCGGTGGGAGGTGAGTCTGGGACCTGCCTAGGTGGTCTATGGGGAAGCTCCTCAGGAGGGTGTTGGGACATTGGCATGTGCACTGACAAACCGCACAACACACCTGGGTACAGATGGGAGCGCACAGAGAAGCCGCACAATGCACAACACACCAGGGTACAGATTGGAGTGCAATGACAAACCGCACAACACATGGGTCTGCATGGTTCTGGGAACCACCCCTCTCGAATCTGCTCGTGTGGCACCTGAGCAGGCGTGCAGGGGAATTGCAGAAATCCTAGAGGCTGAAGACCCAGAGGCCTTGGGGTTCTGTGGTCCCTGCACGCTGTGCCAGCAGATTGATTCCTGGCTTTCAGGTCGTGAGGCTGGGATCACGTAAATCTCTTCCGAGAGAAATGCCTGTGTTACAGAAGGCGGAGCTTGTGACTCCCAGGGTGGCCTCTGCCATGTCAGTTATCCCTGAGAAACCCCTGTCAGCTGTCACTCTGAATTTAAAGCCAGCTGACTTTACATTGTTCCCGCCTTCTACTTCCATTTTAGAATTTTTATAAAGATTCGAAATGTACTGTACACCTATATCAGATATTTTCATTTGAAACATGAAATTTAACAGTGTTGGTGGAAAACCACTGTTAATTAGGCTATAAATGTAATTTATTTCAGGCAGTGGATG
>NT_187563.1:0-126434 GCF_000001405.40 Homo sapiens | reverse complement strand
CTGCTGTGAGTGCATGTATGAGTGTGTGTGCGTGTGTGTGCACGTGTGTGGGTCTGCTGTGTGCATGTGTAAGAATGCGTGTGTTGGATCTGCTGTGAGTGCGTGTATGAGTGTGGGTGTTTGTGTGCATGTGTGTGGGGATCTGCTGTGTGCAGGTGTGTGGAGTGCATGTGTGAGTGTGGATGTGTTGTGTGTTTGAATATGCATATATATGGGTCTGCTGTGTGCATGTATGTTTGAGTGCATATGTGACTGTGTTGTGTGTGTGAACGTGTGTGGGTCTGCTGTGTGTGACATGGGTGTGGTGTGTGCACGTGTGTGTGTCTGCTGCATGTGTGGATTGCATGTGTGAATGTGTTGGTGTGTGACTGTGTGGGTCTGCTGTGTTCATATATATGTGAGTGCATAAGTGTGGGTGTTCTATATGTGTGTGCGTGTGTGGGGGTCTGCTGTGTGCATGTATGTGGAGTGCATGTGTGAGTGTGGATGTGTTGTGTGTGTGCATATACATTGTGGATCTGCTGTATGTGTGTGGTGGTGCATGTGTGACTGTGGGTGTGTGTGTGCATGTGTGTGTGGAGTGCCTCTGTGTGTGTGGGTGTGTTGTGCGTGTGAACGTGTTTGGGTCTGCTGTGTTCATGTATGTGTGAGTGCCTGGGCTAGTGCAGGTGTGTTGTGTGTGTGCACATAAGCATGTGTCTGTTGTGTGCGTGTGTGTGACTGCATGTGTGGGTGTGGGGGGGGTCATGCAGTGTGATCGCATGTGTGAGTGTGTTTTGCGTGTTCATGAATACACAAATATTGTGTGTGTGCCCATGGCTGGCAGTGGGTGGGCGGGTGATGGGGCGTGCAGAGGGATCCCATCCTTCCAGGAGACGTGACAGGGAGCCCCCTCCCATCCAGCACGCTCCCCTGAATGCACCTGCGCTGCCAAAAGGAGGTAGGGGTGGGGAGGGCTGTGCCGTGGCCGCTTGGTGTACCCTTGTGGCGGGAGGGCTGTGCTGCGGCCACTCGGTGTGTGCTTGGGGCGGGGAGGGCTGTGCCGTGGCCGCTCGGTGTGTGCTTGGGGCGGGAGGGAGGGCTGTGCTGCGGCCGCTCGGTGTGTGCTCAGGCGCTGTGAGCCTGCAGGGCGCCCTCGCGCTTCTTCCTCTGCGCAGCCCCTGGTGTTGCGTTCTGAGCTGAGGCTTCCTAATTGACGCTGACGGATGGGCTCAGACTCGAGCCGACAGAGCCAGCTGAGCGGAGCCTGTTAAAAATCTCACTTATTAACCCAAGTCCTCTACCACACTCCTGTCCCTGTCAGGGCCATGCTGATGAGGCATGGGGGTGAGGGCTCACTTTGGAAGACCCAGCGCCAAATGAGCGCGTCCCTGGGTGCTGGAGCTCCCAGGCAGCAGAGCCCTGGGCTTCCGAAGGGGGCTGCCCAGGCCACCCTGAGCGGGTGCAGGTGGGCCACTGTGGACCCAGGCCCAGCAGGTGTTTGGGGGGCTGGGGCCAGTGGTGTCCACAGGGCAGCTTAGTGGCAGAAATGAAGAATCCCACAGGCACGTGGGCTGATGGCCTCTGTCCTGAGAGGAGGCTCAGGGTGCAGATTTCATGGGTGCCTGGGCCTGGCCTGTCCTGAGAGGTGGCTCGGGGTGCAGTTGTCACGGGTGCCTGGGCCTGGCCTTGCTGGTTTCAGAGGAGGGGTGTGTTGGGCGAGGGCTGCTGGAGGAGGGCGGGCCAGCTTCTCCTGTTTGTGGCTGGAGTGCCATGTGCCTGGCACCCAGGAGGTTCTCCACACGTAATTAATGAATTAATTAATCACAAAAGCATTTATGTTTTACATTTTCTCTAAAATTAACATTTAATCTTCCTAATAATTGCCTGAGGGGTAAATACTATATTGTCTTCATTTGGCACATGAGGAAATTAAATTTTAGCATCCCAGGGACTCACACCCAGGGCCTTGGACTCCAGTGCCCCTCATCACTCAGCCACAGGAGGCACCAGCTGGGGGCCTCGGTGTCGTGGCCTCTGCCCTTCTGGAAGCTGCCACCTGAACTCCTTGGCTCAGGCCACGCCCTCTCTTGAGACGTCCCTCCCCGTTTCCTGTCTTCCTCATCGTTGAAGATGTAGCTTGGGCACCTGGCCCCCAAGACATCTTCCCAAATGTCCAGATTATTGATCCAGCTCCCCAATGACCCCACCCATCTCTGAGGCCACACAGCCCCCGTGTCATTTCCCACGCTTTAGAAAAAACCACCCATCTGTTTCTCTGCTGCTAGACCGCAGCCTCCACCTTCCCTCCCTATGACCAACACACTGCCGGCATCTACCACACACATACCATACACCACACATGCACGGGCACACACATACACATGCATGCAAACACACATGTGCACACACTTTCACATGAATGCACACACACCACACACCTACCACACACACCACACATGCACATACACATATACACACACTACACACACCCACACTGTACACACAACACACATACCACATATGCACACACCACACACACCACACATGCCACACATCCACAGACACAAACATATACATATATACACACACCGCACACATGCCCCACGCACAACACATATATCACACATGTACAAACAGGCACACACCATGCACATAACACACATATACACCATACATACACATCACACATGATACATACACACATCTCACTACACACACCACACAAACATCATGTGCACTCACCACACACACGCACCACACACATACGCTACACACACACACCAAACATGCACACATACACAGACATGTACACATGCACACATCACACACGTCTCTCACACATTACACATAGACACACACGTGCATGCACACAGGCCACACGGACACACCCTCTGCAGGGCAGCCAGGGCTCTCCTTGGCCCCCTCACCCCATTGATGGCCCCGGCCGTAGCTCCAGATGCTGCTTTGTGCAGGTCGGGTGTGTCCCTGGTCGACAGGTCCTCTCAGATGCATTCTCTCCTCTTTTCCCTGAGGACAGATGTGGTGTAATGTGGTCTTTGGCCACCTGAGGACGTGGGGAGGACTGGATGGGATGAAACGGTGCCGTGATGGTGGCTCTGGGGTGGCTCCGGCAGTGGCACCATCTGCCTGATACTCATGTGACCTCAGTGACCTCTCCTTTCCCCACAGCCTGCTCCTCATTGTCTTCTCAGCTCCCTGTTCTCCTGCTGGGAGGCACAGTCAAAAGGGGGGTTTGTCATGGTTTCCTGTGACATGATTCTTCGTTTGGGGGAGCAGCAACGTCTTCTCCGAATAAGACACACAGACCCCCAGCGCACCAGCAAAATGCAGCAGAAGGGAAGCAGAGCCAGACGTGTGCAAAACCCTCTCCTAAGAGCACAAGTGAAGGGTTTTATGTGAAAGGATTTGGGTTTAAATCAGAGCTGCTGGTGTGACGCGTAAGCAGCCTGGGGAGGAGGGACCCGCGGCGCCCCCGGAACACAGCGCTCCCATGCCGACACCCCCGGTGCACAGCCTCCCTCCACCTTGAGCAGCGAGAGGGCCCATCGGCCTCCGGGGTGTCAGCAAATGGCCCGAGACTGGCCGGAGGCCAGAGGCATGTGGTCGGCAGCCCATCTGCAGTGCCCTGGATGTGGGGACCCCTGTTAGAGAGAGGTCTTGGGGTGCCCAGCCCCGTAACTAAGATGGGATATTCCTGAGTAAAGAGAAAAGAGGAGGAGAAAGGGAGGGGGATGCTGCAGGGTCTGTGCGAATCCACATGTGGGGCAAGAGAGGGGGCCAGGGAGCCGCAGTCCCAGCAAAGCACTCAACGCCAGGGCAGAGGGCAGAGGGCAGAGGGTAGAGGGCAGAGTCTCGCACCACCCGCTTCCAAGGATGTGCCGAATGCCAGCCTGCCTGCTTTTCTGAGAGCAGAGCTCCTGTCTGAGTGCCAGAGGCCTGTAGACTGCGGGGGCTTCAGTGCCTGCCCCCGGGCCCCTCCTGGAGACAGGCAGTGGACAGTAAAAAGAACACTAGGGACTTTAAACACATCCCCGAAATCTTAACAACTTAACCCAAGAAAGTTTGTTTCTCACTCATATCCAGTGCAGCGTCCTGAGGTGGAGTGTGGCTCTGCTCCGTGTGGCCACTCTGAGATCCAGGCTGGCTCGGCCTCTGCCAGCCCTTGGCTTCCAAGCTTGCCCTGCCCTAGAGCTCGTGGAGGGGAGGAAAGTGTGTGGAAGGTCTCCACAGCCAGTTTAGGGTGGAACCCATCACTCATTCACCCTGGGGCCGACCCAGGCCCCCGACCACACCGAGCAGCAGAGTCTGCAAGGCAGCATGGCCCAGGGAGGCGGGGCAGGCACGGGGCAGCAGCTGGTCTCCACCTCAGAGCACGCTAGGAGGCGGGAGGCAGGAGGCGAGCCGGCAGGGCTGGGGGGTCTCTGGGCTGCAATTCATGGAATTCTGTGTCTTCTCAGGCTGCTGCTGTGAACAAGGGTGGAGAAGGAGTGAGTGTATTTGTATATATGAGGGGAGCATGTGTTCACATGTACACCAGCGAGAGGGCGTGATCTGTACGTGCATGAGTGAGAGCACATCTTCACATCTGCACGAGGGTGACAGTATGTTCATATGAGCACAAGCCAGAGAGGGCGTGTGCTGGGGAGTCTGCAACATGCTTACTTGTGTGAATCTTGCCGCCCAGCTCTTTCTGAAGCACAGCGATGTCTGCAACGTGTCACCGCCTGAGCGTGTGCAGAGTGTGCACAGTGTGCACTGCTTAGCCTCTGCTTTGTGGCATGCATGTGTGCTGCTTTACACACATGTGCGCGCGCCCCAGCTCATGGCAGGCTGTAAGGGTGGTCTGTCCCAGGATCTCTACAGCTTCTGGTGGCCTCCAACAGTCCTTGGATGTGGGTGGCTCTCTCCTTCACGTCGACCCCCATGAGTGCCTGTCTGCATCCGAATGTCCCTTTAAAAGGATGCCAGCAACACTGGACTAGGGCCAACTCCCATGACGTCATCTAAATGTGATCCTCTAGAAAGACCCTATTTCCAAACAAGGTCCCAGCACAGAGTCTGGGCCCAGGACCCCAGCACCCTGAGCTCAGCCCACTGGCTGGGACTCCGGCTTTCCCACCTCGGCAGCGGTGCTTCTCTAAGTGGCTCTACAGGTAACAAAATGTCAGGAAACACCACACACCAGTCCTGCCTTTTGACCACACTGATGCGCGGAGGCCTAGGCCTGGCACCCTGGAGGGCAAAGGACCGAGGAAGAGGCCACGGCCATGGGAGGGCGCAGGCCTGAGCCCACCTGTGGCCCAGCCCTCAGGAGGTGCACACAGCCTCAGCCTCCCGTCCTGCAAACGGCTGGCCCTGCTCTTCCCAGCGTGCCCAGCGCCTGCCCACAGCAGCACCCAGGCCAGGTGAGGACGGTGAGGCTGAAGGGCGCAGAATCTTCTGCAGGGAAACCGGTCATGCAGGCCCAGCAGCCGGAGCCTGCTTCCACGTCTCCACTGCCTCCCGCGCTGCTCCCAGAATAAAGACTAGGAGGGTTCAGGTGCAGAGGAGAGAAACGCAGGGCCCCGTGTGGAAGGTCAGCCTCAAAGTCACCTGAAATCAAACATCACCGTCACCATGCACGGGTGACCACGTAGCTTTGGAGAAACAAATATTTAAAGTTGGGTGAGATTTGCTTCCCTCCATCTGGGACTCGTGCGCTTCTGTGCAGAGGCGCCCTCTGCAAAGTGTGGACACCTGAAACAGGCTGCCTGCAAAGCTGCTCTGTGACAAGAAGCCAATTCAAAGATGAAAAGAAGCTCAGTTTTTAGAAACATTTTCAAATAATGGAATGAGCCTGTGGATGGGGTGCTGGGGCCCCATCACTCTGTGTTCATTTGGGTTTAGAGGGATCTCCCCGCTTCTCGCCTCCTTGCCATGGTGAATCGTACATTTTGGGCAGAGGGTGGCAGATGGCCCCATATGGGATTGGAGAAGACGTGGCTCCCTGCCCCCTCCTGCCCCCTCCTGCCCCCCGTCTCTCCTCCGTCCCTGTCCTCCCTCTGTCCTGCCCCCGCCTGTCCCCGTCCTGCCCCGTCCTGCCCCGTGTCTCTCCTCTGTCCCTGTCCTGCCCCCTCCTGTCCCCTCCTGTTCCCATCCTGCTCCCGTCCTGCCCCATGTCGAGCGCCAGTTCTCCTGTCCTTGTGGCCTCCCCACCCTTCTCCCTGCCCGTCAAACGCTGAGGAAGCCATTGCTGTCAGGCGGCACCGTGGACGTGGCCTTCTCCGGGGGAGCTCTCTGTGGACACCCACGTTTCCTTCACGCGCACATCCGTTTTATGATGTGGAGCTTTAAGGACCTGGGAGGAAATGGGAGGTTTGCAGTTGTAAATGGCGTCAGCAGGGGCTTCCTCGCCTGCCTGTCAAGATGGAGGCCAAGCCCAGGGAGGGGTTCCTGAGCAGATGGCAGGAGAAGGCCCTTCGCCGTGTCCCCCAGGGGCTCCGTGCACCAGGCCTCACCTGCGCAGCACGGCAGTGTGGGTGTGGCGACCACTGCCTCGCGTGGGCACAGTCTCGCAGCTCTGAAGAGGCCATTGGGGCAGAACAATCCCCCTCACTCTAAGGAGCAAACTCCTCCAAAGCACCACAAACCGCGACTTGTGTCGGGGCTCTCACGGCGGGGTCCCCGGGGTCACCAGCAGCATCACCTGGGGAACAACGCAAATGCACGTTCTTGGGCCCAGCCCTGGCTCAGAAGCTCTGGCTGGCCCCGAGCTGTTTTACCCGCGCTCCAGGCCATTCTGACTCAGGGTCCAGATGAAAACCACCGGGGTAAGGAATGCGTGCTGTGTAGACAGCCACACGCAGGGCAGCTGGAGCACTCGGGGCAGCTGCTAATTAAAAAGCAATGCTCATTCCTCAGTGGACATCTGGAAAATACAGCGATGCAGTGAGGAAGAAATGCGACTCCCCCGGACCCGCCCAGAGGCAGCAAAGGCGCTTATCATTCGTGGGCATCTTGTCCTCTGATCTTTCTTCTGCGCATTTGAACTTTCTTTTTTATACGAGTAGGATCACCACATTTTGTACACTAACAAAGTTTAACAAATTGTTAGACTTTCCCATGACATTAGGGCCTTTTCCATTTAACGAGAGCTGCACATGCTGTTTTGGGGACCTGAATGGCGTATCGAACCCCTGTCCGCCTCTGACTCTGGTCTCCCACCCTCTTCCCTCCCCACCGTTCCCCGCTGTCCTTGGTCTTTGTTGTCCTAGCCACACCGGCTTCCCAGCACTGGCTGGACTCACACCCCACAGCAGGAGGACCGGGCAGGGTGAGGGGTCCCAAAGGTCTGGGCTTACCACTGAAGTTCCACTTCTCCAACCGGCTTGCCCTGGCCCTGTCACTGCCTTCTCTACGGTCCCACGCGCTCTGGAGATGCTTGTCTGTGGGCCCGGGTGGTTGGCTTGGGGGAGGCTGCCATGCGTGTGGTTTTAGCACGGCACAGGTCTTTGCAGATACACGGCACGTGTCACAGTCATTTGAGCACCGTCCTCCTGTTTGTCACCGAGTCATCTCTTTTTAACAGAAGCTCATCCAGAGGCTGTGGTCCGGGTGAAATTAGGGAGCAGCGTGGAATGTGGGTAGGGACTTGGCTTAGGGACTTCTAAACCAAGACGAAGGCTTCTGGGTTTGGAAGGAGGGCGAGTTTTCCACATCCTAACCCCGGTTTGCACAACGCTGGTTTCCAAACGGAATTCTCAACATACCAGCCCTGGGCTACCGCTCCGGGAACTCAACCTCCATTTCTGTGAAGCCCAGCTACCCATCTGTGGTGGGTCAGACAGGTGAAATCACGGGCCTCCTTGGCTATACGTTAAATGGAAGTTAAATGGAAATTGGCCAGCACCCGGCTACCAAGGGTGACACCGGCTGATGAAAGATGCACCAAAGCACAGATGAGCCGTCCATTCATCTCTCTCGCTTACAGCTTTCTCAGCTGACATAGAGTTTCTGGTCTCCTCTGACAACTTCTTTCTTTTCACCATTAAGAAAAACTCCAAATAATTTCAATTTGCAGCTCATTAGCACCCTATGCACAGGGAGTGTTGAAAGAGTTTTTCTTTTTCCTCTTGATGAAAGAAGTCCCTGGAACTCAGGACGCCCTCCTCAGAATTCTCTCCTTTGTTCTTCCCACCCTCCTCCCTCACCTCCCTCATGCCCCAAAGGGAGTGGAGTGGAAAGGGAGGAAAGAAAGACAAAAAGCGAAACAGGTGCCCCAGGAAGGGCAGCGGAACCCCTCCTCCCACAAAGCCCCTTCCCTCTGGGCGTCTCTCCCGGCAAGCCCCAAGGGTCCCAGCACGGGAGGAGGACGGCCCCTCGGATCTAATGAGCGGACCTCACATCCAAAAGGGGCTGCGATGTTGGGGTGCCCCTGCCTTGGCCAGAGCAGACACTGCCCTCTGCTCACCTGTGTGCACCAGAGAACATGGTCGAGGGATGCCGGGTTGATAAGGGGAGCCCGGCCAAACCCTCAGTCACATGGAGTCCGCCTGCCCTGAACCTCCTCATTTCTCACTGCCTGTCCTCAGAGCGAGGCTTTTTTCACTGAGCCATGTCTTAAGTCGAGGGTGGTCCTTCCCTACTTAGACAGCGACCCCATCGCCCTATCACCTGTCGGAGACTCATTCAGCATTGGGGATACAGATGGCCTTGTCCTGAGTTCCAGGGACCCCAAAATGTATAAAACAGCCTCAGCTTTGGTCTAGACCCTAAAATCCAGAGAAGCACCCTATGCAAAGAGGTGTGGGTAGAATTGGACCCGCTGTTTGGACCTCGTCAGATGAGGGGAGGCTGTCACAGCGAGGAAGCCACTGCGTGGAGTCTCGGCACAGGGGCCGGCCTGTGGGGAGCATCAGTCTCCCATAAGCCGAGTGCTCATCAGGTTCCCCAAGCTTAGCAGCTTGGCAGCATTTATTATTGAGCAAGTATTTCATGGGCTCACGCACGTTCCTGTGTGATGCCTGGTGCTGAGGACATTAAATCCTGTATATTTGGCCAGGGTTCTTAGGATTTGGGTGCCAGCCCTGGGCTATCTCCTGCCCTTAAGCTTAGAAATCTCAAGACGTTGAACACACTCAGGTACACAGCACTGTGCCAACAGCCACGATGGAGAGGAGACGCATCTACTTCACGTGGAGATTTGGGGTGAAGTCATTTTGATACTAAAACATACATGTGTGTGCATATATATATATATATATATATATATAATAGAGTAGATTACAAAAATCCATGAGTTTTTTTTGTTTTATTTTTTTGGGTTTTTTTTTTTGAGATGGAGTCTCGCTCTGTCATCCAGGCTGGGGTATAGTGGTGCGATCTCCGCTCACTGCAAGCTCCACCTCCCGGGTTCATGCCATTCTCCTGCCTCAGCCTCCCGAGTAGCTGGGACTACAGGTGCCCGCCACCACGCCCGGCTAATTTTTTGTGTTTTTAGTAGAGATGGGGTTTCACTGTGTTAGCCAGGATGGTCTCGATCTCCTGACTTCGTGATCCGCCTGCCTTGGCCTCCCAAAGTGCTAGGATTACAGGCATGAGCCACAGCGCCCCGCCCCAAAAATCCACGAGTTTTTAAGATAACAGATGAAACTTCAAAGACATCTCCTACCTGCTGCTGACCCTCAGTGCTCAGTCTTCAGAGCCCCCGATGTGGCTGGGGAGGGTCTCATGGAAAAGCGTGAGCCCTGGGGTGAGGAGCACAGACCCCAGCAGTCCCGCCGTCCCCGTGGAAAGCCTGTGCCCAGCAGTCCTGCCGTCCTTGTGGAGAGCCTGTGCCCAGCAGTCCCGCCGTCCCCGTGGAGAGCCAGCCTCCAGCAGTCCCGCCGTCCCCGTGGAGAGCCAGCCCCCAGAAGTCCCGCCGTCCCCGTGAAGAGCCCAGCCCCCAGCAGTCCCGCCGTTCCCGTCCCCGTCCCCATGGAGAGCCCAGCCCCCAGCAGTCCCGCCGTCCCCGTCCCTGTCCCCATGGAGAGCCCAGCCCCCAGCAGTCCCGCCGTCCCCGTCCCCGTGGAGAACCCAGCTCCCAGCAGTCCCGCCGTCCCCATGGAGACCCTGTGCCCAGCAGCCCCGCTGTCCCCGTGGAGAGCCTGTGCCCAGCAGCCCCGCCGTCCCCGTGGAGAGCCTGTGCCCAGCAGTCCCGCCATCCCGTGGAGAGCCTGTGCCCAGCACGGCACCTCTAGCCCAGCCTGGCATAGCCTCGTCAAGTTGCAGAGCCCCCAGTGCCAGGGCGCCCGCCTGTGGACCCCACACGTCTAGATCGCTGCTTTGGGATCACGGGGGATGGTGCGCTGCGACCATGATGTGTTGTGAAGTTCTGTGCTCACTGTCCGCAGCCTTTGCTTAAACAACAACGGTTGGCTTTATCTGATGAAGGTGGAACTGCAGTGTTCTCCACGTGGCCCTCACATGGCTCCGCAGAAGCTCAGGGTGTTGTGGGCCAGGTTCGCCTCCACCCACTTCAGCCAGCAGGGGAAGCTCCCCTGTCCTCTCTGCCGAGCCCTCGTGAGTTGGACGGTGGCCCCGGCTTCCAGCTCCGGCCTGGCGGTTCCCTGATCTCCTCCCCACGCACCCTCTGCCATCAGCCTGGTATTTTCCATGACCCATTACAGTCCTGTTCCCCGAACCTGCCTCCTGTTCAAGGACAGCAAGTCCATCCCATGGGCAGGGCCCAGCAGGACTGGGCCAGTGAGACGGTTTCCTGTGAGGATCCTGGGGTCAAAGTGCCACAAACTGGGTGGCTTCAAACCACAGAAATGAATTGTCTGACGGGACCGCGGGCCGGAAGCTGGAGATCCAGGTGTTGTCAGGGCCACGTGCTCAGGAAGCTCTCGGGCGACTCTCTGTGGCTCCTGGCAATGCCGGGGGCTCCTTGGCAGGTAGACGCCTCACTCCGTTCCGTCTCCGTCCTCGGGGCGTGTCTGTGCTGTCTCTTCTTAGAAGGATGCCGGCCGTACTGGATAAGGGCCTCATCTTTACTAACTCCATCCACAGAGACCCTATGTCCAGAAGGCGGCATTCACTGTGCTGGTGTTAGGAGTTGAACGTGTCTTTTTGGGGAAACGGTTCTGCTCGCCACAGTGCCTTGGTGTCATCTCATCCAACCCTGGGCCTACGCGGGAGCTCACACGGCGGGGGTGGCGCGGGGCTCCTTCCACACCTCGCTCAGGGCTGAGCCCCCTCCAGGGCCAGAGTCACAGCCTCCTGGCTCCACAGCCTCGGTGTCATCTCATCCAACCCTGGGCCTACGTGGGAGCTCACACGGCAGGGGTGGTGCCGGGCTCCTTCCACACCTCGCTCAGGGCTGAGCCCCCTCCAGGGCCAGAGTCACAGCCTCCTGGCTCCATAAGGCATCTGGCTTGTCGCAACACGTTCCTCTTTGGACTGACTCAGCTTTCGAAACCTTCTTACTTATCCTAAGCAACAGTACCCACAAAATTCATGTTTTTGATGTACTATTTTGCTTTTTCTCGTGCACATTAAAATAAAGTTTTAAAAATTGCCCACATTCCACATAAAAGCAAGTGACACAGCACACTTCGGGAGGTGCTGCAGGGACTGAACGTGTGCATTAAAATAAAGTTTTAAGAACTGCCCACATTCCACATAAAAGCAAGTGACACACCACACTTCGGGAGGTGCTGCAGGGACTGACCATGTGAAATGTGAATCGTCCAAGGCAACAACTGAATCTTATAGATGCTTAATCCAAAAGAGTGTTTTCAACAAGGTCAATTCCAGGCCCAGGGTTTGTCCAGGACAGCGGTCCATACTCTTTTTGGCACCAGGGACCTGTTCCATGGAAGACGGTTTTTCCATGGACCAAGGTTGGGGGAAGGTTTCAGGATGATTCAAACGCATTACATTTACTGTGCACTTAATTTGTGTTATTATTACATTGTAATATATAATTAAATAATTATAAAACCCACCATCATGTAGAATCAGTGGGTGCCCTGAGCTTGTTTTCCTGCAACTGGCTGGTCCCATCTGGGGGTGATGGGAGACAGTGACAGATCATCAGGCATTAGATTTTCATAAGGAGCGTGCAACCTGGATCCCTCACATGCACAGTTCACAACAGGGCTCAAGCTCCTATGAGAATCTGATGCCACTGCTGAGCTGACAGGAGGTGGAGCCCAGGCAGTACTGTGAGCCATGGGGACTGGCTATAAATACCGACAAAGTTTCACTCGCTCACTCACCCGCCACTCACCCGCTTACCTGCCACTCACGTACTCACTCACCCACCACTCACCGGCCACTCAACAGCTCACTCTCCCGCCACTCACCCACTCACCTACCTGCCACTCACCTGCTCACTCACCCACCACTCACCGGCCACTCAACAGCTCACTCACCCACCACTCACCTCCTGCTGTGCACCCCAGTTCCTAACAGGCCACAGACTGGTGTCAGTCCGTGGCCCAGAGGCTGGGGATGCCTGGTCCAGTGGGAAGACATGGGTGGGAGATCTGGGATGCCCATGGACTTTTACAGAGTGTGAGTTTGGGGGCAAACACACTTGGAGTTGGACCTCAGCTCTGCTGCTCACTAGCCAATGATCTCAGCTCACAGTGCTTAATGTTCTAAGCCTCAGTTTTCTCATCTGTAAAGTGGGAATCATAGCAGCAGTTCTCAGGGATTTGGTAGGGTAACCCACGTAAACATCCATCCCAGAGCCTGACGTGCCATGAGAGGCTCCACAGACACTGGATCTCAGCTTCTGCCCTGGAAGGAAGCCACTGTCCCCAGAACCACTTCCGGGCCAGAGTGAAGGCAGCTGGACAGCAGGAGGCCAGGCATTTGCAGGGGCGGTGCCTAGTCTCTGCAGCTGACAGCTGTATGGAACCCTGCAGTGTTCAGTACAAAGCTCCAGGATGTGAAGGATTTGTCAGCTCTCAGGCATGCAGCCCTGCCCTCACCCTCCTGTGATGAATTGGGCCAGGCAAACAGTAGAAATAGGAGCAGTCCCCTGGCTGTGCAGAAAGGCATCTGCCCACTGGGCTCCTGCTTGTCCCAAGGAACACCTCTTCCCTCCCCATGGCCCCAGGTCTGAGGCTCCATCCTCCTGGGACCAGAGGAGACATCTGGGCCCTGTGGAGTCCTAAACCTTGGCCACAGCATGACAAGGGCAGGGAGTGCTATTCCTGCTCTCTGAACCCACACTCGTTCTGGCTGCCATGTGTGTGCAGCACCATCTCTCCAAGCAGCCGTCTTGTGGCTTCCCCATCCAATGGGCCGGGATTTCCTTGTAATCAGCCAGGAAGCATTCCTACTCTGTCTGCCCCAACCCATCTCAAGAGGGCACGGAAAGGGCTGGGCACCTGCAAGCTGACAAACCCCATTGTTGTGGGAACATATGTGTTCTCGGGCACAGTTCCCTGGTGGTACAAACCGTTCACCTACAGCTTTGCCAGCTACATCGGAAGGGCCCCATTTCTGCCTCTCCTCCCAGAAGATCATGTCAAAGACACCAGCCTGGCCAAACCTAGCAGAGAACTGAGGGCCCAGTCTGGGGAAGAATCAGCTTTCTGCTAGAAGGAGGTGGGCCCTGAGGGGAGCAGAGGCTCTCCCTGGAACAGAGGAGCTGATGCTCAGAGGGGAGCCCAGGGCAGCCCCTGAGCTTGGTGCTGCTGAGGTGCAGGTCTGATGGGATAGAGGCTGTGCATGCAGAGGAGAGCGGGAAGCTGGGCCCATGCCAGTGGCCCTCCAAGTACTCACTTTGTTCATGCAGACCACCGGGCCGTGGTCTGCCTGGACTGAGGGGGTTCTCAGTGCCTCAACCCAGATAGCTCTGAGAAACTGGCAGGCCACGGAAATCATCCTGGCCTCCTCAGAAAGATCCAATAGTTCCCAATAATCCTGCCAGTAAGAATGCAGAGACAGAAGATGTACACACACACACACATACATGCGTATGCACATACACATGCATATATCTTTATGGGCACACAGATGTACACGCATATACATGTATACACACATATGCATCTATGTATACATACATACACACATATACACGTATATGCATCTATTGCACACATTTACACCTGCACATATACATATATACCAGACATCTATAGACACATATGCACACATACATGCACACATATACATATATACAGATACATCTGTATGTACATATGTGCATATTTTTGTACACATGCATGAATACATATGTAGATATACATATATACACATATATACATGCACCTACAGGTTGAGCATCCCAGATCTAAAACCCAAAATGCCCCCAAATCGAAAACTTTTTGAGCATAGGCCTGACCCTAAAGGAAAATGCTGATTTGGAGCATCTTGGATTTCAGATTTTTGTATTTGGGATGCTCAACCAGTAAGTGTGATGTAAATATTCTAAAATGCAAAATTTGAGACACTTCTGGTTCCAATCACTTCAGATAAGGAATGGTCGACCTTTATATATATTACACACACACACATTTTTGTGGCTTGTGATAGTCTGCTCTCTACTGTGTGCACATCTTCCCACACCTCTTCACAAAGAGGCTAAGTGGGCCTTTCAGGTGCACTCAGCATCAGCAGCTGGCACAAAACCACCTGGGCCGTCACCCAGCCGGTGCACACACAGCCACGGTGTGTGTGGAGAAGCACCAGACCCCATCGCTAACGCAGAACAGGACAGGGCTGGCCCCAAGCACTCGGGTCCCTCCTGCCTCAGAACAAAGCCAGGCTCACACAGACACTCCATGTCCCCAAGGTGGGGGCTCCTGGGGCCTCTGGCTGTGTCTCTCTCCCTTTTGAATTGCTTCTGTTCTGCTTTGCAAAACACTGCCTGGTCTTATTATTGAAGTTACTTTCTTGGGTTTATTAAGATTCTTCTTTTACTCAAATATTGACCAAGGCCTGCCCTGCCCCCACCGCTTAACTGGCAAACAGGCTGTGGAGCCATAACCTGACACTAGACATAACGACACAACGTTAATGACTTTAAACAACCGGGAGTTTACGTCGAATACATGTTCTATGTGTCTAATTTTCACCCCTGGTGCTCATTTAAATTCTTCGCATGTTTTAAAAATTTATGTCTTCCTTTTCCCATCTCCCTGAATTTTACTCCAGCCTAATTTATAAGAAAAATGTGCTTTGAACTTTTAACTAGGATGCTGGAGAACAAGCCACCTTTCATTCCTGATGAGCTGCGATCTTTTCCCTTTTCTTCAGACCTTCAGTTGATGATGTATTTGCACACGCACACACACACACACACACACACACACAGGAGTATATATATTTTTTCTATGCTTCTTAAAGAAACAACAAGTCCTTTTAAAACACCTTTCAAATGCACAGTATAAGAAGCACTGTGGGGGAGAGGAACAGAGACTCCCAGAGAAGGAGTTTCCTTAATGCTTACTGGAATTTGCTATTTTCTTCTTTTCATGGAAAATGTGTCTGAGAGCACCAGTACAGCTATTATCTGTATCCTGTGGCCTTTGTGGGTATTTCCAGGCAGAGAGAGGACTGAGTCTAGTGTGCAGAGCGGCACTCCCACCCCACGCTGAGGCAGCGCATCCCTCTGAGAGCTCAGGGGCAGCAAGGGCAGTGAGGGCACTGCATGGCGAGAGGGTAACCTGGATCACACCAATGTGGGATGCTTGTTGCCAGGCTCCACACACAGTGGATAAAACCAGCCTTCTCTCGTGAGTGAGGCCTAGACCTGCAGGGTGGGAAGAGGCAGGACTGGGAGAAGGGGGGCTGGGA
Organism: Homo sapiens; assembly: GCF_000001405.40. Lineage (NCBI taxonomy): Eukaryota > Metazoa > Chordata > Mammalia > Primates > Hominidae > Homo > Homo sapiens. The sequence goes on along the minus strand of NT_187563.1, from coordinate 110,654 downwards.
GGAAGATGACATCGGATCTGTCTGCAGAAATCATCTGTCAAGAGTCAGAAGGTGTCAGATCTTGCTGAATGGTGGGTGGGTGGTCTCTGCATCACCTACTGGTCACCCAGTAGGGCGAGAAGGGTCAGAGGGGAGACTGTGTGCATGTGTGTGCAAGTGTGTGTATGTGTGTGCACGCGTGGGTCCTCACCTTATGTGTCACCCCTCATCTAGAGCTATTTGGCTGGGACCTTGGCATTCTCTGGAGCAGCTGCAGTTACAGAATGGAAGCTCCGTGCACAGTCTAGAATCATCTAGAGCTTTTTGGCTGGGACCTTGGCATTCTCTGGAGCAGCTGCATGGTTACAGAATGGAAGCTCCGTGCACAGACACTGGAGTTGTTCACCACTGCAGTCCCTAGAACTTGGTCTGACATATCATGAGTGCTCAGCAGGTACACAACGAATGAAGAAGTGTGTGGAAAGAAGGGAAGGCAGTCCTCACAGACATGGAAGAAAAATTCCCAGCCTTAGCAAATTGTTTCATGAAGTAGGAGGTTAATCCTCTCTGATATTAAGAGCTAATAAGCATTCTTAAGAGCTGTATGCCACCAAACTATGACTTCGCGGGGGCATTGGGTAAACAGGCCCCTCCACACCCGGTGAGGAATTAGATGCTACGAAATAAGGGCTTGCGCCTGTTTCTTAAGGAATCCCTTACTGTGCAATTTTTAAATTTCCCATAAGATCCTCTTTAATTTTAACTTCTAAATATAATAAGGATACATCAATATTATCTACTCTTGCATATGTTTCTACTAAATAATTTCAATAGTTTTTCTTGAGGAACTTTTAGAAAATGTTTATTATTTCACTGTCTAGGGAAAATGTTAGCAATGAAGAAATTACACCAAAAAGAAAAGTTGACATATTTTGCCATCATGAAAAACCTGCCCAGAGCTCCACAAAAAATCATGCAACAGTTCCCAATTCCAAAATATATTACAAAGCTATGGTTATTAAAACAATACACTACTGGCATAAAAACAGACTTATAGATCAATGGAACAGAGAGTCCAGAAACAACTCATACACTGCCAAGTGCTCCTTCATAAGCATGAGGAGAATACACCATAGGGAAGGGTCGCCTCTTCACAGGTGCTGGGGAAACTGGATGTCCACATGCAAAAGAACGGCATCGGACCCTCACCTCACATCCACAAAAACCCACTCAACATGGGCTAAAGACTGAGACATAAGACTGGAAACCATAAACGTACTAGAAGAAAACACGGGGGAAGCATGATGACATTCATCTAGGCAAAGGTTTCTTGGATCTGACACCAAAGGCACAAGCAACAGAAGCAAATGTGAACATGCAGGACAACATCAAACCAGTGAGCTCCTGCATCAGCAGGGAAACAATCAGCAAATCCAGAGGGCAGCCCACGAAAGGTAGGGTGAGTGGTGGGTGTGTGGTCTCTGCATCCCCTACTGGTCACCGGGGAGGAAATATTTGCATACCACATAACGGATAAGGAGTTAATATTTAAAATGTATAGGTGGCTGGGTGTGGTGGCTCACACCTATAATCCCAGCACTTTGGGAGGCAAAGGTGGGTGGATCACTTAAGGTCAGGAGTTCGAGACCAGCCTGGCTAACATGGCAAAACCCTGTCTCTACTAAAAATACAAAAATTAGCTGGGTGTGATGGCGGGCACCCGTAATCCCAGCTACTTGGGAGGCTGAGGCAGGAGAATCACTTGAATCTGGGAGGTGGAGGTTGCAGTGAGCCGAGATGGTGCCACTGCATTCCAGCCTGGATGACAGAGCAAGACTCCATCTCCAAAAAGTAATAATAATAAAATAAAATGTATAGGGACTTCCTACAATTCAATAGCAAATAATAATGATAACCTGATTTAAAAATGGGCAAAGGACTTTAGTAGACATTTCTCCAAAGAAGGCATACAAATGGCCAACACACTGTACATGGAAAGATGCTCAACATCACTAATGATCAGGAACATGCAAATCAGAGCCACGATGAGATACGTCTCTGTACCCATCAGGAGGCTGTGACCAAAAAGACGTGTGTTGGTGAGGATGTGTAGACTCTGAACACTTACATGCTGTTGGTGGGAATATAAATGGTGCAACCATTATGGAAAACAGTATGAAGTTTTCTCAAAAAATTAAAAATAGAGCCACCATATGATTCAGCAATCCCACTTCCAGATATTTATCCAAAGGAAGTTAAATCAGGACCTCGAAGTGACGGGTGCGCTCCGGAGTTCATCACGGCATTGTTCACAGGAGCCAAGACATGGAAGCACATGTCCCCCAGGGACGAGCGGGCAGGAAAGCGTGGTGCATAGACCCAGTGGGTGCTCTTCAGCCTTAAGACAAGACGGACAACCTGCCATCTGCAACAACAGGGATAAACCTGCATGACATGACGTGAAGTGAAACAAAAGCCAGGCCCAGGACAGAGGCTGCACGACGTCGCTGAAGCGTGGAATCTATGACAATTGAACGCACCGAAGAAGAGAGGAGGATGGAGGCTGCCGGGTCTGGCGCTGGGGGAAGCACGGGAAGGGGCCGTTCCAAGGGCACAAGGTTTCAGCGACGCGGCCTCAACGCGGTCTCGACATCTGCCGTACGGTTGAGAGCCAACAGTACCACGCTGCACACTCAGGGAAGTGTCAACACGGTGGGCCTCGCTACACGTTCTTAGCACACGGAAGTGAAGTCCCATGAAGGAAGCGGAGTCGGAGAGGGACGCCGGGGCGGGTTTCACGGTGGACGAAGGAGCTGCACGCCGAGAAGTCCAGCCAGGTGCCACAAGCCAGAAAAGGTCAGGAGCCGCCCCAGAGCGTGCGGCCCACCCAAGCCCTGACTTCAGCTCAGTGAAACCCATCTGGACCGTGGCCTCCTGTGAGAGAATAAATCTGTGTTGTTTTCCTGCAGGTTTCTGATAAGCCACGTGTGTTTTGGGGGAGACACAGGAAGCCAAGGACCAAGCACTTTCTGTGCGGCCGTTCTGTTCTTCCACTAAGCGGGCGTTTTCCTTCCCAGAACCCTCGGTGGAGGCATTCAGCAGCCGCCTCTCCTGTGAATTTTTCTTAAATATCATTTGGCAATAAATCATAGCGTGCCCATCAAATTTTTCCCTAGAGAAAATTATTATTTTTAGGCCTTTAAAACATTTGCTCTTTCCTTCTTCTAAGATGATGTTTGTTTTCATGCAGGCTAAGATGTTTTTACCTATACTCTATCACCCACAGATTTCTCAACCCAGTGGGGCAGAAATGGGGATTTGTGCTGTTTCATATGGAATTTGACATTAAAAAAATCCATGCAGCTGCTCTCACGGGGAGGATAATATCCCCCGCACCTGGGTTAACGCAGCACTCTCGTGATGCAGAGCCTCTCCGTGAATAAATAAACCTCGACAGCTCTTTCTGGAGACGGCAAAGCAGTGCTCCGTGGATGAGGCCGTTCATCCTGCCTCACCGCCGTTGCTCCTAACAGGGGTCGAGAGACTGATCTCGAAGGCAGCGCTAAGCGGAAGGCCTGATACTTTCAGCGTCGGTTCAGTTTCTGGTCTGGCGTAACTTGCACCGTGTAGCGGAATCAGATGAGAGGCACAAGACGCATTGTGACACCACATAAGCACCACAAAGAGAAAGCTGTGGATTGGGTATTGGGTATTCATATATATGTGCATATATATATGTGTGTGTGTGTGTATATATATGTGTATATATATGTGTATATATGTGTATATATATGTGTATATATATGTGTGTGTATATGTATATGTGTGTATATATATGTGTGTGTATATATATATATGTATATATATATTTTTTTTGAAACGGAGTCTCTCTCTGTTGCCCAGGCTGGAGTGCAGTGGTGCGATCTCGGCTCACTGCAAGCTCCGCCTCCCGGGTTCACGCCATTCTCCTGCCTCAGCCTCCTGAGTAGCTGGGACTACAGGTGCCCGCCACCACACCCGGCTGGTTTTTTGTATTTTTAGTAGAGACGGGGTTTCACCGTGTTGGCCAGGATGGTCTCGATCTCCTGACCTCGTGATCCGCCCGCCTCGGCCTCCCAAAGTGCTGGGATTACAGGCCTGAGCCACCGCACCCGGCAGGTATTCATATTTTAAAAGTTAAAAAAAGCAAAGAACCTCTTTCTTTCTCTAATAAGATGTTGATTAAATTTTAAGTGAACAAGGTACAAGAGGTGAAAACACAACATCTATTTCCACAGAACGTCCGTACGAGGGTGTTCCCAGGAGGAGGAGTGCGGCGGCCTGGGAGGCACATGGATGCCGAGTCTTTGGATCAGCAGAGGGTCGTTGAGTCGCTTTGAGGGGCCAGACACTGTTGTAGGAGCTGGGAGCGCAGCGGGGAAGCACGCTAGGGGTCCCCTTGTCGCGGAGAAGGGACAGGCACTATAGTGACCGGGTAATTTCTAGTAAGGTGTGATGTGAAGAAAGGAGAAGAGGGCACAGTGATGGAAGGTGGGGCTAAGCAGAGGCCTCTGAGCGTTAGGACGAGAAGAAGCCCAGCCTGGAAAGACCCCGGGGAGAAACACAGAGGCCACGCAGGCTGGCTGTGGTGCCTCTGAGGGATGGAGGAGGGCATCTGTGGTACCTCTGAGGGATGGGGAGGCCGCCTGTGGTGCCTCTGAGGGATGGAGGAGGCCGCCTGTGGTGCCTCAGGGATGGAGGAGGCTGCCTGTGGTACCTCTAAGGGATGGGGGAGGCCGGCTGTGGTGCCTCTGAGGGACAGAGGAGGCTGCCTGTGGTGCCTCTGAGGTATGGGGGAGGCCGGCTGTGGTACCTCTGAGGGACAAAGGAGGCCGGCTGTGGTGCCTCTGAGGGATGGAGGGGGCCGGCTGTGGTGCCTCTGAGGGATGGAGGGGGCCGGCTGTGGTGCCTCTGAGGGATGGAGGGGGCCGGCTGTGGTGCCTCTGAGGGATGGAGGGGGCCGGCTGTGGTGCCTCTGAGGGACGGGGTAGGCCGATTGTGGTGACTCTGAGGGATGGAGGGGGCCGGCTCGGGAGGTGGTTCGTGATGCCGTGTGTTGAAGGCTGTGGATCTTGTCCTTGGTGGGTGCAAAGCCAGCAGACATTTCCAGAGGGAGAGGGATGTGACTTAAATTGTGACTTAGAAAGTTCACTCCACGCTCAGAACACTGGGCCTGAGGAGCACACGCTGGAGTGGAGGCCCTGGGCCAGTCGGAGGGGCAGTGTGCGAGTCAGATGAGGGACCCGCACATGGAGCTGGGGCAGGACCTGCTGTAGGTCCCAAGGTGAGGAGGGAGCCCTGGGCTGGGTCTGCTCTGGTGGGGAAAATGAAATGTCTGCTTGGCCAAGTTACACTGGGGCCTGCAGTGGAGACGTTGAGTAAGTGGCTAGAGGAACACACGTTCAGCGTGGGGAGGTCTCACGGCAAGAGATGGCGATGTGGGGTCTTTGGAGCCTGGGGAGAGATGAAGGCCAGGCCAGCCCGGATCCGAGGCTGACAGCAGAGAGCAGGGCTGCTGAAGCCTCGGTGCAGGGAGGGCCCGTTGCCCTCAGCATCCCTGTCCAGCACCTCCCACCCACGCTCCAGCCTCACCCAGCCCTTCCTCCCCACGAGCACACAGCGTGCTCCTGCTCCTGCTGGCCCCACCCCGATGGTGGGCCAGGCCCAGCTGCAACCACTACCTCTCTGACCCGATGGGGTTGTCATGTCTGAAGGGCTTGCCACGTTATTCAGTCACATTTAGGGGCCAAATCTAGAAGTTGGAGAAGAAAGGAGGAGGGGGCAGCACCCTAGTCACAGGGGTGGTATTGAAGATGGCACGGGGGTCTCCTCTCCTGCTGCCTTCCTGGGAGAGGGACTGGAGGGCACAGGTGCTGAGAAGAAGTGGAGTCCCTGAGTGGAGCCGATGGGATGTGGAGGAAGGCCTGAGGAGCCGGTGGGACGCCCACCCTGCCCCACCCCACCCCACAGCACCAGCATCTGCTGATTGAGTTTAAATATCAACGGTTCAATGTGTAGAGCCATCTGTAATACTTTTAGCCCCAGATTCTTTCACATCAATAGGCAAAAAAGAGGTAATTAATAAAACGAACATAAAGTTCTAATTATAGGGTGTAAATATCGCTCTCAGGAGAATTATTAAGATGAAGGATGGGTTTTGTGATTAGGAGAAGAAAATAACCTGCCCAGGGGAATGGAAAGGAGGCAGACATTCTCAGACCAGAAGCGACGTGTGTGTGTGTGTCCGTGTGTGTCCATGTGTGTGTCTGTGTGTGTCCGTGTGTGTCTGTGTGTGTGGAGGGGCCACTGCTAACGACTGTACAGCCAAATGGGAGAAATGGCCGGTCTGTTACTGATGCAAACAAGAAAGCCAGCATGGTGACAAAATATTTAGCATGGGGACAAAGGTCACAGAGGCATCCTTGTCATCTCCCAGAGGTGACAAATCACAGGTTCGTCTCAGAGGCAATTTCACATTCCAAAAGGTAGAGAAATAATTCTTTTCTATTTTTATTTTTATTTATTTTTTTAGGACTGAGTCTCGCTCTGTCACCGAGGCTGGAGTGCAGTGGCACGATCTCAGCTCACTGCAACCTCCGCCTCCCAGGTTCAAACGATTCTCCTGCCTCAGTCTCCCGAGCAGCTTGGATTACAGGCGTGCGCCACCACACCCAGCTAATTTTTGTATTTTTAGTAGAGACGGGATTTCACCATATTGGACAGACTGGTCTCGAACTCCTGACCTCAGGTGATCCACCCGCCTCAGCCTCCCAAAGTGCCGGGATTACAGGCATGAGCCACGACGCCTGGCCCAGAGAAATAATCGTTAAAGAAATGTAGGAAGACAGACCTGGGGTCAAAGGAAAGATGAGCATAGTCCCCAGTCCTCCAGCTTGAGAGCTGCGGGGCCTCTGGAGGTTCAGAGGGGTCTCAGGAATGGGCTCAGAATTCAAGACTACAAAGGATGCTAAAGACAAAGATTCAGGCTCCAAAGAAAGGAAGGAGGACACATAGGAAAATGTAACTGACAGGTGCACACCCAGCCTGGCCCAACGCAGCCCCTCACCATGGTCTCAGGGCTCAGGGAGCTCCTGGAATGCAAGCTTCGCGTTGAAGGATCCCACAGGCCTGCAGGGCAGCTCTCTGGCCAGGCCCTGCCACCGAGTGGTACGTCCCACAGCACACCCAGGAGCCTGTGGCCGCCTCCCGTCCGGGCCTTGGAATTCCTTTTGGCTGACAGTCTTTGCCTGTGTGACCCTCACGGGATGCCTCCCACGACCTCAGCCTGTGACCCTCACGGGATGCCTCCCACGACCTCAGCCCATAAGCATCCCTGTGGCCAGCTTGTGTAACCTGCCAGGCAGGAGGCTGGGATGAAATTCTCACTTGCCACACCTTGTAAATATCAGGTGTAAATATCACCCTCAGGAGAATTAAGATGAGCGATGGGATGTCCTGCAGGCCCAGCAACAAGGCCGGACTCTCCTCCGCTTCATGAGAAAATGTGTGTTGTCATCAGATAGCCTTTGGGGCTGCCTGGGTGCAGATTCGAGGCTACCTACTTCTCATTTCACGTTGGAGGTTTCACGGATCCTACATATTGCAGAGAAACCTGAGGTCCGTTTTTGGTTTTGCTTTATAGTGATAAATCCGGGATGACACAGCCGTGGGCCGTGTTGAGGGCTGGGATTTCGGTGCAGTTGAATCCCCGGCTGTGGCCCCAGTGCCCGTTCATGGGCCCCTCCCGTGTGATTCTCCCAGCTGAGCCGTGAGTTCGTCTGAGCGGCGAGTCGGAACTCGAGGCAGATCACTCTTTGCTGTTGAGATGGTTGGATCAGTGTGCCCCAAAATCTCCTGTCGAACCGTAATCCCCAGTGTTGGGTGTGGGGCCTGGGGGGTGGTGACTGGACTTGGGGGTGATTTTTGAATGGTTTTGCACCACCCTCTCCTTGCTGTTCTCATGATAGTGAGTTTTCTGAGACCCGTGTGTTTAAACCTGGGTAGCCCCTCCCACCTTGCGCCTACGCCCACCGTGGGACGAGATTGCTTCCCTTTCGCCTTCCACCGTGACTGGAAGCTCCCTGAGGCCTCCCCAGAAGCAGAAGCTGCCGTGCTCCCTGTGCAACCTGCAGAGCTCTGAGCCGATTAAGCCTCTTTCCTAGAATCATCCAGTCTCAGGTGTTTCTTTGTAGCCATGGAGAATGGACTAATACCACTGTCAAAGATGGTCCAAGTTTGTTTCCTCTCTCCAACCAGATTTTTAACGTTTCCTTCTCTTCTCTGCGCCTTTCCCAGTGATGAGGACAGTGGCTTCCATGGGCAGGCGTTCAGTAAACAGCACCCAGTGAACTCAGAGCTGCCAGTTTACCCCGCAGGGGCAGCAGAGCTGACTAGGATTGGGTGTAGATGAGCTCAGAGCCCACAAGGCCCCACAGGGATGTCACCATCCCGGTAAAATGTGAGATTCGGGAATGAATAGGAAAATCATGTGCTTAGTGCACGTAACATCAGCAGTTGGGAAAGTTCACCGGGAAAGAAAAGCGCCACAAGTCCTCGCATCAATACTTGCAGAGACAAAATAACCTCAAGGCCGATCTTTCATGCCTGTGCCTGGGCATCCCCGCGTCTCTAAGGAGGACAGTTATGTAATTTAGATGGAAAATTGACAGGACTGGGCAGGTCCCTCTGATTGATGTGGAGGCCGTATCTCACGTCCTGGAACGCGTGTGTTTATTTGCTGTTTCACGGGGCGGGCCATTTTTCTCCAGCCAGGAAGGGTAGGGGTGTGCACCATAGGGCCTCTCCCAAGTTCGCCTCGGCGCCTGCCCCCCTCCATCACGGTGATCAGGTGTGGCCTTAGCCCCAGGTTTCTGAGGGCGTCAGCATCACATGTGTTTGTTCTGCTTCATGGGCTCCCTCCGTCAGGCAGGTCAGGGTGTGACATGCACCCCTTGGTGACCGATGGGCTGGCTGGGTCTCACAGAAGGTACACCAGGTGAGCTGCCAGGTGCCACCTCCTCCACCTCCCGCCTCCCGCCTCGTCCACAGGCTCAGGAACCCTCTGGGGATGAGCACAAGCACTTTCTTTTGAAAACGCCTCCATGGCGGAAGTTCCTTGGTTGGGGAGGACTTTGTTGTTATCAATAGCTTGAAAATGAATCAAGTTCCCTGAATAAACATGAGGTCAACCTCAGCAACGTTAGTTTGGGCAAATGTCAGAGCAAGCACAGAAAGTGGCTGGAAGGACTTTCTCATGCGACTTGTAAATAAATGACTGCCGAGTACAGAACTCCAAGGGCCACAGATAGACAGCACCTTGGGAAGAGGTTGAGAGTTAAAGAGCAGTGGTTCCCAGCCTCAGCCCCCTGGGGAGGGTGAGCAAACAGACGGTGCTGAGGCCCCATGTGGAGTCGGAGATTTTGCAGGCTGTGGCTGGGGCCCAGCTTTGCTGCAGCTCCTGGGGGCCTCCCAGGTGCATAGGTGAGGGGCTTTTAGTTTGAGCACCCTCCCTCCTGCCAAAGTGCCCCCTAGATGCACAGGTGAGGGGGCTTTGAGCTTGAGTCCCCCTCCCAGGTGCCACCCAGGTGCACAGGTGAGGGGCTTTTAGCTTGAGCCCCCCCCGCCCCCGACCCCGCCGAAGTGCCTCCTAGATGCACAGGTGAGGGGGCTTTGAGCTTGAGCCCCAGGAGCCTCCCAGGTGCACAGGTGAGGGGCTTCAAGCTTGACACCCCCACCCCATCCCCAGGTGCCTCCCAGGTGCACAGGTGAGGGGCTGCGACGCACAGGGATCCATGTCTTAGAGGAAGTTTCAATACTTTATAATTGCATCCCCGCTAAGTGAGGGAAGCACTCTGGCCTCTTTCACATGGAAATCCCTCCTCTCTGAGGACCGAGGTGATGTGCTTTAGCATGACAATGAGTGCAGGCAGATATGAAGTATTTTGTGATTTAAATTTTGCTTGTGATATTTCAAAGAGGTTTCCTCTGGAAAAGGTTACTGGGAGAGAAGGTAGCTCACTGTTCTGCTGGTGAGCTGTCTCCACAACTCCACACATTTATCGTGGTTTCAGGCTGGGTGTCTTCAGGCTCCTTGAGCTGCTTTGCAGTAAGTGACACAATAAAAAATGTAAAATACAGAAGGCACCCACTTTTCCCACTTACGGTTTTAGTGGGTGTTCACAGAGGCGATGAAGAAATGAAATCCCCACATTTAAACAAAGCGGAGAGTGACAGTGAGGGTGATAGTCCTATTGTATAATTGCCTCCTTTGACTCAGAGAGGGAGAGCCTATTTTCATACTTATCCGAAAGCAGTGAAGCTTCAAAGAATAGGGGCAGACACAATGGGCTTTCAGAGGGAAGCTGCCATCGTCGACGCTATAATTGGTCACCGCACTGCCCGAGTGCCCGTAGGCCGGCCAGACGCAGAACCGGAAGTGCAGGCAGCCTGGGTGGAGCAGGGAGGTGTGAGCCCGGGTCAGAGCAGAGAACGAGGGGAGGTGTGAGCCCGGGTCGGAGCAGAGAACGAGGGGAGGTGTGAGCCCGGGTCGGAGCAGAGAACGAGGGGAGGTGTGAGCCCGGGTCGGAGGTGTGATCCCGGGTCAGGGCAGAGAACGAGGAGAGGTGCGAGCCCGGGTCAGAGCAGAGAACGAGGGGAGGTGCGAGCCCGGGTCAGAGCAGAGAATGAGGGGCGAGACACAGGCGGCCCCCTCCCGGCCACCTGGGCCCCGAGCTTGTCCTGGGCCCCTCGAGGTGTGCTGCCGAGGCCCGAAGGTGGCCTGGAGGGTGGGGACCCGGGAAGGGGCTGTGGGGCCCTCAGCGTGGCCTCAGAAACACCGAAAGCCTTGACCTCAGACCTGGCTCTGGCAGAGAGGGGGCCGAGGGAGGCAGGTCAGCCCTGGGGTCCCTGCAAGGCGGAGGAGGCAAAGGAGGAAATTGACTTCTGCCTGGAGGTCAGGAGATTACTGCTTCTAAGCCATGGGAGGAGAAGGGGACAGAAACACCCCTGTGTGGTGCCAGGGGTGCCACGAATTATGCCATTCAGGCCTCCAGTGGATCTATACGTGGCCCTGGGGGACGGTGTCTCCTAGAGGCTCCGAGCTGCTGACAGGACACTTAAAACCCAGAGAAGCCAACGTGTTTTCCACGTGTGGCAGAACTCACCATTGCTCCTGACAGCCGGAGGGCGAGCATGTGAGAATCCCACGTGGGAATGAACCACGAGCATCCACCCATCCCACCCCGGAAGAGGCACCACGCCCCGCCCTTGCCCCCACCCCAGGGTGAAGCCACGGGCCCTGGAGGCCCCTCAGATCCTTTCCTCCCCCAATTTCTGTGATTCTACTTATAATTTGAACAATTCAAGGGTCAAACTCCACCTCTAGAAACGTGCATACTCACAGGGTACACAGGGGGTCCACAGAGCACCCCAAAATGTAAAGGTTATCACCGCCGCGAGGGTCATCTGTGACATGGAGACCAACCTCTGCCATCTCACGTAATGAAACACCTTTAGAAAACCTTACAATTTTTGTTCATCTGCCACATTCTTTTCAGCAGAAACTGTGTTTGCTCTGCAGAGGGAACAGCAGGGGACTCTCGGCTGGGTGCCTGTGCCTGAGCCCGTCCTGGGCAGCTCCAGGCCCTCATTCTCCCGACCACAACCGCAGCTGCAGATGCAGCTGCGCCCCCTTCCTCTCCCCGGGCACAGCGCATTGTAGAGGGGTCCCATTAATTCTGAAAAAAAGCCTTACAAGATAGATAGAAAATTTATCTCATTTATTTAAGCTCATCACTGCTGATTAATCCCAAACTGGGGTCCCTTGCCTCCACTTTAGAAAAAGAGATGAGTTTTAAACTCGGCACCCGCGGCCCTGGGAGATTGATCCGCCCGGTCATGCTTTGAAGTTGAAGCGCAGTGCCCATCGATTGCACACATTAAATGACCAGCCACGCTGTAGAACGTACAGCTCATGAATAAGAAGTACCCAAGCCCTCCTAGTCACTGGAAAGCCTCAGGTCCAGCCATCACGGGGCAGCCTCCGGGTGGCCCATCTGCGGGCTGTAGGAGCAGAGACCCCCGGCCCCAGCCTGGGCAGACGTCTGTCGTGCAGTGTGGCCAGCGGACAAGCCTGCTTTCCTCATTCGCTTACAAGGTGTTCTGTGAGCACCCAGCTTCCCCAAGGTCCTACTGAGTTGCTTGGGACACTGGGGAGCAGGCAAAGACGACTAGCAGATGCCCTGGACGTGCAGGAGCCGTGCCATGTGGGATCCCCACCCCCGAAAACACACCCTCGAGCTGAAGGCAGCTGGTGCTGGGACGCGGAGACCTCGGCTGAGCTCCCTGGGGGTGGAGATGGGCTTCTCTCCACTGCTGGCTAATGTCCGCCAGAGCCACAGCAAAGAGGGGACCCAGGAGAGGTGGCCCCGGGGAGCTGAAACTCAGGGAGATGGCCCAGGGCTGGGCTGGCCTGAGTATAGCAAGTACGCTGCACACCAGGCGCAGATGCCCCGCTGCGGGCGCCTGGCCTCTCCCGCGGCTTGCTGGCTCAGTGCGGGCTGCAGGTCAGAGGCCACACCTTGCAGAAGGCAGATGGGAACGCGAGCCCCACCCCATGAGGCAGCTCAAGATGATCTGTAAGAGTCACTCGATTGAGCGGCATGAACGGGGAGGGGGCTTCATAAGGCCAGAGAGTTCCAGGCAGGGGCCACTTCGCCCAACTTTGACAAACTGGCAGTGTGACCCCCAGAGGGGAAGGACAGGCTCTCCGGGCAAAGGGGACTCCTCCATGACAGGCTGGTTTTATTTTATCGAAGCACTTCGTGGAGGCCTGGTCGGCAGGAAAAGCCGCACATATTTTCCGTACATATCTTCAGGATTTTGGGGATCCGCGTGCGCCCCTCTGATCTGCCCTCTTGGGTGCGCTCCGAGCGTGCTGCACGGCGTTGCTGGCTGTAGGTGCGATACCCTCCAGGTCCTCAGGAAACATGGTCTGTACCAGAAACCTCCTAGGAGAACGCTTTGTGTTTGTGACATAACAAATGTAAGCATTTTTGATGTTCAAAGTCCTCTCTCAAACTTTTTTTGTTGCCAAGTGAATGTAAAATCCAGAGGATGCTCTTGGTCGAGAGGGTGACTAGGAGACGTGTGGATGAAGCCCCAGAGCCCCTCCGCTCTCACCACCCTGAGTAGGGCAGGTGGGTGCAGGGAGGGGGGGCGGGTGCAGGGAGGGGGGGCAGGTGGGTGCAGGGAGCGGGGGCGGGTGCAGGGAGGACAGGCAGGCTGGCGCCAGGCAGGCGTGTGGAGGCGGGACCCGGGCACATACATGCATCCGCCTGCACCAGTCCCGACCTCAGAGCCAAGCCCAGCGGCCGCTCCGCTTCCCAAGCACGTAAAACACGCCAGGCACGAGAATATGTGGACGCGGGCGCTTATTTCTTGTTGAATTTTGTTCTGTTCTGTTTTCAAACATGGAATCGGGTGTTGCATCGTGTTCCATGATTTGCTGAAAATACTTAACAAATACGAAACTGTGGAATATCTTTTCTTATCACAGCAAATGGACGTATCTCATTCTTCTTAGTCACATAAAATATTTAAATACCCTCCGCGAGAGCTTGTTTGCCACTCATTTATTTGCTGTTGCAGGCGATGCCAGAGTGACTGTTCTCATACACATACATGCACTTATGCTATAATTCTTATCAATTAGATTATAAGAAACGGGATTTTTTTTGCTCATAAAGTATGTGCATTTTTATTGCCAAATTACTTTCCAAAAAGGCTTTATCAGTTTGCATGTGCAACAGCAGTATATTAAAAAAAGTTATTAAACCTTTTAACGTTTACCAATGTGATGGTGTTAACTTTTGATTTTTTAATCATTACAGAACGGAATGTCTTTCATGTACTTATGTCTTCCCCTGAGCTTCACCCGAGCAGAGAAAATGCTCCTGGACCCTGTTTCCTCACCAAGTTGTAGGAGCTATTTGTCTATAGGAAATAGCAAACTTTTAATACTTCTGGATTAAAAAAAATAGCTTAGGTTTTGTGACAACTTGAACCCAAGATTAAAAAGTATTTTATATTTTCTTCTAATTATCTTATGGTAAATTGTTTATTATTTAGATTTTGACCTATCTGACTTTTTAATATTGGAATCTCACTTCATTTTCTTACACAATTTCCCACTTGTGTTTATCGGGTGGATTTTTTCTGTACCCACGGGTTTGAAATGCCCCCTTCGTCATACACTCCAGGCCCTTGTGTTGTCACGTTCATTCCTAGACCATCTGTTTTGTACTACTGGTCTGAACGCTGATCTTCACGCAAAACACGATTTAATACCTGCAGGAGCGCCCGGTCTCCTTCCTGTGCCCCCAGATTGCTTGACAGTTCCTGAGCATGTACTCCAGGACCTGAACCCAAACCACCTTTAGAACCAAGTTAATGACATCCTGCCACCCCCGCACCACACACACACACCACCATACACACACCACACACATTCACACCACACAAACACCACACACACACCCCCACCACAGACACACACACACACCACCATACACACACGTCACCACCCCACGCACCACACACACACACCACCATACACACACCACACACACCACATTCACACCACACACACCCCCACCACACACACACCACACACACACCACCATACACACATGTCACCACCACACACACCACACACACACACCACACATTCACACCACACAAACACCACACACACCCCCACCACACACACATTCACACCACACAAACACCACACACACCCCCACCACACACACACCACCATACGCACATGTCACCACCACACACACACCACATACCATACACACACAACATACCACACACACAGCACCACACATACCACACACATACCTGCACACATACTACACACACCACATACACATCACACCACATATACTACACACACAAACATACCACATACTACACACATCACACACACACCACACACATACCATATACACACACACCACACATATACCCCACACACACCACACATGTACCCCACAGACACACACACCATACCACACACACCACACACACATACCCCCACACACATACATGCACACATACCACACACACATATCACACCCACATTTCACACCACACACCACATACACACACACTGTCAAAGGCTGGGGACCTCAGGGGACCACGGAGCCACCTGGTGTGTGGCTGAATTCCCTTGTTGTCAGGTAACACTTTTGAAGAGAAGCCCAGGCCGCCCCTTTTCTCTCCGGCAGAGACCTGACCCTGGAGGCCTCCCACGAGCCTCCTGAGAGCTGAATTTCTGAGGCTCATGAAGCCCGAAACCCAGTCTCTCTGACCTTGTACAAGATGTCTGTGCCCAGGGGGCCTGGATGTCCCAGGGTGGGTCTGGCTGCCCCGGGACCACCAGGAGGGAACGTGCCCAACAGGCAGCTTAGAAACAGTAGAAGCCAGCGGCACCGGGCGGGGAGCTTCTCGAGGGAGCGGAGAGTACAAGGCCCAGCCAGTTTTGTTGTGTTGCTTTCAAAGTGTCCTTCAAAGGTGAACCAAATTCATCCCGGAAGCATCTGACTTCATCTGTCACCAAAGAGGACCAGCCCGCCGGAAGACAGTGATTTCCCCCATCAGGTGTGGGCATTACCTAAAGTTGCTGACCTCCTAGAATTTTTGTGACGCTCTCTAATTCTAGCAATTTAGCTCAAATCCTACCATTCTGACTGTCCTGTAGTGACTGTTACGGTGACAGCTTGGGAAATGGAGGCAGGAAGGGGCGTGAGCTCCGTTCCTTGGGGAAGGTGTGGGTTTCGCCTCTGTGAGAAAGGAGATGGCTCCAGGGAGCTATCCCCAGCATTGGAGAGGTGGTTCCAGCGGCCTCCAGCATAGCAGAGATGTGGCCCCGGCTGCCTCCCACATGGCAGAGAAGTGGGCCGGCAGCCTCACGTGTGGCAGAGGGCTGGCCCCAGAAGCCTCCCCTATGGCGGAGATGTGGCCCCCGAGGCCTCCCGCGTGGCAGTGGGGTGGCCCCGGAGGCCTCCTGCATGGCAGTTGGGTGGCCCCAGAGGCCTTCAGAGCACACATCTTCCCCGCATAGCCCAGCAGGGCTGCATGCCTGGGAGCTGGGCTCCATGTGGCTTCTCATGGTGGGAAATCTGCCTTCTAGGCCCTTCCTAGGGGTGACGACTAAGAGGTCGTGGGGGACTCTTTGGAGCTTGGGGACTGCTCCAGCCCCGTGGAGGCCTGTGGAGAGCTCCTCCCTAAACCAGGATGGGTTCTGGTCACGTTGGTTGATGGCACACTTCTCCCAGGGTCTCCAGACAGCAGTGTCTTGCCAAGGAGGCTGAAAGCTTCCTGTACTTTCTTTTTTTTTTTTTTTTTTGAGATGGAGTCTCATTCTGTTTCCCAGGCTGGAGTGCAGTGGTGCAATCTCAGCTCACTGCAACCTCCGCCTCCCAGGTTCAAGTGAATCTCCTGCCTCAGCCTCCCCAGTAGCTGGGACTACAGGCTCATGCTACCACACCTGGCTACTTTTTTGTACTTTTAGTAGAGACGGAGTTTCACCATGTTAGCCGGGATGATCTCGATCTCCTGACCTCGTGATCCGCCCGCCTCAGCCTCCCAAAGTGCTGGGATTACAGGCATGAGCCACCGCGCCCAGCCTCTTCCCTGCTTTTTACTGGTTCTTCTCTTCTTTGGCAGAACTCTGTTTGAACACTGGGATTTGCGAATGGCAGAGAGGCTGGGTCTGGCTTGTGTCGGCCTCCAGGCCCCGGCTGCGTGGTTCCCAGGGGACCCGGTGCTGGCTCCCCATTGTCCAGACCTCCAGGCCTGTCAGTGTCTTGGGGACGTCGATGTTGCCAGCAGCTTTTATCCACTGGGGGTGCAGAGGTGTGAGGGAGATGCCAAGAGGGGAACAGCCCACCCCAGCCCTTGGCAGCTTGGACGGGGCCCCCAGGTGCCTCCCCCAGCCATGAGCACAAATGAAGTCCGAGGGAAAGATGGGGCTGGGCTCACCCAGCCACCACCCCAGGGGACCCAGATGGCACCAGCTCAAACACCACCCCGTCTCCCACAGAGCAGGTGTTCAGGGTGTCCCAGGGAGGCCCCGGTCAGTGTGAAATGCATGTCCTTGTCCTCCAGGTCACGGCCACTCTCCTCTGCCTCTCTCTCTGTGGGGTCGCCTACAAGACATGAAGGACAAGGAGAGAAGCAGGACGTGAGGCCCAGGGGCTCTCCTGGCCCCCTAGACTGTGGGGAAGCCCCCTGCCCGCCCTGCCCACTGGGGTGACCCAGGCACAGCAACAGCTGGGAGTCCACGCGCCCCCCAGGCCCACCGGCTGCTGCGCCAGACTTTCTATGGCATCTTCAGATGTCACTCCCAGCAGAGGCCAGACCCCCTCCTGTCGCAGTTTCCATCAAGGTGGGGCCTGGAGGCCACGGATGAGCCCCCTTGCTCACCTGATCCCCGACACCCCAGAGGGGTTGTGGGCATCCACTGGCACGCGGGGGTCATAAGTGGCATCCAAGTGGGTTTCCCACGAATTGCTTCCAGAAGAGCCAGTCCCGGGCAGCCACCCCCGCGTCCCCCGCCGCACCCGCGTCCGCCTCCCGGGCAGCCACCCCCGCGTCCCCCGCCGCACCCGCGTCCGCCTCCCGGGCAGCCACCCCCGCGTCCCCCGCCGCACCCGCGTCCGCCTCCCGGGCAGCCACCCCCGCGTCCCCCGCCGCACCTGTGTCCGCCTCCTGCCCCTCAAGCTGTCCCAGGCTCAGTGGCTTCCTCAGGCCATGGGACCTACAGCTGACACTGGCACTCTGTGTGCGGTGGTGCAGACAGCACTGTGGGATGTGCCAGAGCTGCTCCCTGCACTTCCCACAGTGGGCACTGAGCTCTGGGCACTGGGCAGGCAAGGCCAAAGCCGCTGGAATGTGCCACCCACCTGATGATGAAACCACAGCAGGCTGAGGTTCTGTGAGTCTTACGCGTTTTTAAATGTGGCTGTTTCTCTTCTAAATGTTACCGCTGCCACATGAATTCATGTTTCCAAACACATTGCAATGAGAGGGTGCTTTCTGCACGGATGTGGCCTGGTGTGGCCCTCACCGGCAGCGCCTCACCGTCCTCTATCTCTGGGGACCATAGTGAGGCTCCTGAGAGTGGGAGCGAGCCCGGTCCTCACCCCGTCACCAACTACCTGGGGACAGCCACTCTGTGCTTCCAGCCTCAAGGGACTCACGCTGTGGACAAGCCCAGTTTCCAGTGCCATCCACAGCTGGGACAGTGCCCAGGAGTGCTTTGTGAATGGGACGAAGATCACAGCAAATGAGCCCACCTCTGGGGGCTTTTCCCAGAAGTACAATAAATAATCTTCCTTCTTAGACTTCATGGTCCTTAAACTTTATAACAATTCAGATACTTAGGCAGTTTTTCAAAACATGTTGATTTAAATAAATACTGAACTAGCACTAAATGCTGGTGAGAAAACCAGCAAGACTAAAGCCAGGATACGTGAACGGTACCTGTGGGGCCCTAGGTGCTAGTCCTGGTTAATATTACCTGTGCCGTTCCCCGTGTGGTTTGTGTGAGCAGGGAGAACCCCACGCAGGGCTGGCCCGAGGGCCTGGGATCCACCCCACAGCAAAAGCGCTCAGCCAGCTGAAGCCCTTGGCGCGCACTCGGAGTGCGGCTAACGCTCGTGCCCCACAGGGGGCAGAGGAGGCCAAACAGCAGGGGCCTGGCACTTGCACGGGACCATCTCTCCTGGGAGCAGCAGCACCCAGAGCCGGCCCAGGGGGTCCCTGCAGCCATCCCCACCCGGCCCTCCCACCCTGCTACCCAGGTGAGCAGGCTGGTGAACACGCACACAAAAAAAACCAGTGATTATGAACTCCAGGAAAACCTCCGCTGTTGTGCAGAAGGGAAAACGCAGGCTTCAGCTGGGCCCCCTGCGCGTCTCAGCTCCCAGCCGGGCGTGGCAGCTGCTAGACTGTGTACCTGGAAAGGATCGCGATTCTTCTCCCCTCCCGCCATGCTTCCCAGGCCGGCCCCATGCCCATCTCTGAGCAGGCTCCCCCTTGGTGTGCTGTGCCCACGGTCTCCGTCTCTGCCCTCTGCCCACCGTCTGCAGAAAGCAGGGACCCTGGTCCTGGGAGAAGCTTCCCTCCATGTCTGTCCAGTGTAGACTGTTCAGATTTCAGCAGAGACCAGGTTTGCGGATGGCACCCAGGCAGGTCGCAGGCGCTCTGGTCCTGGGGAGGCCTGCCCGCGAGTGCTGGCTCTAGTCTGGGAGTGGGGCCGGCCTGGGGCCCCTCTGAGCCCTGCCCCAGGCTCCAAGGCCTTTTCCACCACCCCCTTTCATCCTCGGGGGCGATTTCGTTTTGGAGCACCGTGGTCTGTTTTCACTCAGTGGCTTTGGGGTTGGGGGGACCCGCGGCAGCTGTGGATCCACCGTCACCATAGAGTGTGGATTTACACCACTGGCCTTGGCGCCCCAGACAGGGCAGGCCGCACCCCGGTGCAAGCCTGTGGGGCGGGGCGTGTCCCCACGTGGGCCCGGGTTATCCTGCTCCATGCCAGAGCCCCTGTGGAGAGCCTGTGCTGGCTGCTTCTCGGTGTTCGGTCAGCCTTCTCGCCGCTGTGCCAACATTCTGGAAACACACACACAGCTTTGTTCAACTCCTATGACGACGCGATGAAACAGCGGCTGTAACAGCCGTTACAAGTGGAAAAATGGAAACTGAAGAGACCGCGTGACCT
This sequence comes from Homo sapiens, assembly GCF_000001405.40. Lineage (NCBI taxonomy): Eukaryota > Metazoa > Chordata > Mammalia > Primates > Hominidae > Homo > Homo sapiens. The sequence goes on along the minus strand of NT_187563.1, from coordinate 90,847 downwards.
CAGCCGCCTGGACAGAGGGCCTCGGCTCCCTCTGCTCTCCTCTCCAGCCCCACTGCTCACCTGGCCACTGGGGAGGGGCGCGTTTCCTCAGAGAAACAGCTGCCCACCCATTTGAACAAGTCCAAAAATATCTTGACCTTATTACTTGTCCAGGCCCCCTGGGCCCCTATGTCGCCCCACACGATGGGTTCATTTCCTTCCATTAGCTGCAGAGAGGCCGGGTGTGGGGTCAGGGTTTGCGGTGAAATGTCGAGACCCAGGGGGCCCTCGGTTTGCACTGCCACGGGATCAGCTCAGCCCCTGCCCGTTTCATACGGGATCAGCCCAGCCCCTGCCCGTTTCATACGGGATCAGCCCAGCCCCTGCCCGTTTCATATGGGATCAGCCCAGCCCCTGCCCGTTTCATGGGTCAGTTGCTCTTCAAGCCCTTTGTGGAGAGGAGGGTCAGGCCGAGCGGGATAGGGCTTTCTCTCCAGCGCTGAGGCTGAGGCTGAGGTGGTTCCTGCAGGGCAGGAAGGTTCCCGCAGCCACAGCTTTTGCAGGTGAGGCTGGACCCAGCCCTGAGCCTTGTGGGCGCTGCTGCAGGTCGGCATCTTGCTAGGAGCACCTCCTCCAGTGTGAAGCAGCAAACGAGCCCCGGGTGAAGGTTCGAGGGGCTGCTGAACCGCCCCCCTAATCCGTCACTGTGCAGATGCTGAGACCCCAGAGGTGGGGGCAGGCCCCCCACTTGGCCTCCTGAGACCTAGTTGGTGCCTTTCCAACTAGGCCAGGCTGACTCACGAGCTGCTCTGGGCCAGAAGCCACGTGGTAAGATTGGTCCCTGGCCTAACGTTGAGCTGCCTGTGCCCTGCCCACAAGCAGAATTTAGGAATAGTCCCTGGAAGCAGAACTAAACACACCCATCCCAGCTTCCTTCTCCTCCTCTGCACTTACACCATGAGTGTCTCTACCTTGAGAGACTTAAACTCCAACCATGTGGGAAATGTTTCAGCCACTCATCCTGAATTTACTCCTGTGGGACAGCAGCTGCGCTCTGCTTGAAAGAGTAAGAGATGGAATATCCTCCATTCAACCAGCCTCCCAGCCCTCTGGAAAGACACCTGCCTTCCTGGTTTCACTTTTCTTCTTGAATGAAAACAGGGCAGTGTTCAAGCCTCAGAGGGCCTGGAGCAAAGATGAAATGTGAACAGCCTCCGGAGGAAATCACTCAAAAGTAGGGTCATACGAATCCACATGGGAAAGTCCCTGTTCCGAGTAAGTGGGAGTGGGGCGGGAGGCTGAATCCAGGACCCACAGGTGGGACAGGCCTTCCTGCCAGGGCGTCTTCTCTGCTGTTTCAAGAGGGCTCCTGGAATCTTGTTTACTGCCATACTTTTCTTTGCAGAACTTTTTATAGCCAGGATCGGTCAACTTTAGTATGGACTCCGCTGGCCCCTGCATGCTCAGAATTAGTGGAGTTCTTAGTAAGATGACTTCATACTAGATTAAATAAGCACAAGGTAATGTTCAGGATTGTGGGCTGTCAGCTCCTCTTGGGCCAGCAGTGCCGAGGAACATCAGGCTCAGACATGCGTTCGATGAACCTTCCTAGGTATGGATGGACGTATGTCCCAGGCTGTGTGGTGAGGACCCTCCCGGTGTGCTGTGCATGGGAGTGTCCATTGTGCATTACATATTCAGATGGGAACGTGAGTAACAGGCCACGTGTCACAGCACCGCCAAGGCAGGTGTATTCGTCTGTTCTCACGCTGCTAATAAAGACACACCCAAGACTGGGTAATTTATGAAGGAAAGAGGTTTAATGGACTCACAGTTCTGCAGGGCTGAGGAGGCCTCAGGAAACTTACAATCACAGCAGAAGGGGAAGCAAACATGTTCTTCTTCACGTGGCGGCAGCAAGGAGAAGTGCCGAGCAAAGGGGGAAAAGCCCATGATAAAACCGTCAGATCTTGTGAGAACTCGGTCACTATCATGAGAACAGCATGGGGTATCCACCCCTGTGATGCAATTACCTCCCACCAGGTCACTCCCCCAACATGTGGGGATTATGGGACAATTCAAGATGAGATTTGGGTGGGGACACAGTCAGACCATGTTAGCCAGCCAGCACCGAGTGCACTCAAGGCTCCCCGAGTCAAGCAGCCAGCACATTCTGTCATCCCAGCGCCTCTACTATTTAAGGAAAGAGAGCAAAGCCTTTATTTTCATTGTCCATTTTCCTCTGATTCCTCTTTCCAAACTGGGCATTTTTGTGCTGGAAAGAAATCCTGAATGTTGATGCGATGCTGTGTGATCATCTCTTGGGTAGTCATTTTCCAAATAATTTCTTGGAGTACCGACACTCGTCGTTCTTTCAGGGACCCCTGGGGGCAGTTGGTATATTATACATGTATGAGTTTTTAGATGGCTCCTCTCTCTCAGGTTATTTCTGCTGTTTCTGTTAAGATTATAGACAACATAACTGGGATGTGTGATTTCATAGGTTGACCCTGATCAGCTTCCCATGCCTGGATGATCAGTAAGAAGCCCTGGACCCCCTCTGTGGAGGGCGGGCTGCAGCTCCTACCCTTAGAGCTGATTCACCGTTTTCAGATACTGGGGCCAAACCGGCCCTCCCAGACGCCTGCTGGAACCGATTCCGCCTGGCACTGCATGCATCCCAACCCGGGGCCCCATTAATTCTCGGATGCCTGAGTCCAGACCCACTTAGCGTGGTTGACTGGAGCCTGTGCCAGGGCTGAGCTCATGAGCTGAATTCTTACATGAACAAATTACTTGCAGTTTGGTCTGTGGCTTTGCACTGCACACCTCTGTGGCCGCCCCTCAGCATGGGGTCTACGGTCCTGTGCAGAGCAGGCGAGGCCTGGGTAAGCCATCAGGGCAAATCCACCCACACCTTTGGCAAAGCCAGCCCAGGTCTATTCCCTAGGGACAGTGAAAGAGATAGCATAGGCGAGGCCATACCTGTGTGCCCGCACCTGGGAACCTACTCCCGTCTGTGGCAAGCTTGGAGGACAGTGGTGGCTGAAAATGCAGGAAGCTTCTCAGGCATATGGGCATCTGCCTGAAGCTGCTGTGTGGGCATTTCACATCCACCCCTGAAAGCCCAGAAAGGGCTGACAGCTGCTGCCAAAGTCAGTGGGGTGTGGTTTGCCACAGAAGTCAGCGACAGCAGTGGGATGTGATTTGGAGCTGGCTGGGAGGCTGGGGCAGGGTATTGAGGCTGAAGTAATATACGTTTTGGGTACTGTGAAGTCAGATGACTTGATAAAGATGCAGAAATAACGATTTGACTGAGGGCAAGAAAGCAACCTGGGAGGAAGCTGGGTCAGCTTGTCCTCAGTCAGGAAGCTTCCGCCATGCACCATCCAGGAGCTCTCCCAGCTGCACGCTTCATACTCGAACTTGTATGAGATGGGAACCCATGACAATAAAACCAGGCTCTCTGGGATAGTATTGAAAAAGTGGAAGTTTTCTTAGTACAGATTCATCTCACCTTGAAGTCTGAGAGCAGACCCAGAAGAATTGATTGCAGTGGTCGAGTCTGGCCTGATTCGATGGTGTTTGCTGCATTTGCTGGGACCAGAAGAAGGGCACGCATGTTGTAAGCACTGTCCTCAAAGAGACTTGACATCAACAACTTGGCACAGGGAGGGTTAACTGTGTGTTATTCTGAAAATATGTTTTGGTCCGGACATGTCCAGGCGGTAATGTAGCAGACCCTCCACTTTGAGGAGATGATAATAACACTAGCCCATGTGTAATATATCAAATCAAAAGCAGCCGTGGACCTGGGAAGGACAGACTTTTCATCAAAAGGCCTGGTGCTGTGGGGTCAGGGCTGTGGCAGGGCAGTGCTCTGGCCATAGGACCGCAAGCACTACCACAGCCAGGCGAAGGGAGCCCTTGTCTTGTTCCGCAGAGGGGAGTGAGCATGGCTAGAAGGAGCCGCATGTGGGTGACGTGGGTGTGAGTGGACCAGGATGTGGGGTGATTGTGGCCGTGAGCGGCAGGAGGCCAGAGAAGGTTTGGCCTGGAGCTGCCTGGCTCAGGGGCTGCCCACTGCCTCGGTGGGGGTGGTGAGAGTTCAGGTGTGCACTGAGGAGAGAAGTGAAACCGACCTTTGGTTAGTGAGTATTCTGTCCTGATTGATCTGTGGGGACCCGCGGGGCAGCTCATCACGGATGAGGCAGAGAAAGCGAGTTTGGAGAGCTCGTCCACCTTGGCCCGGGGGCACATGCAAGCAACAGTGTCAAGTGCTCTCTCCGTGCTGGGTGTGGCCCCATCATGCATTCCAACATAGGGAATACCCGTGACCACCCTGCGAAATGGGTGAAGCCCCATTGTGCAAACAGGGAAACTGAGGCACAGAGGAAGGCAGTCCCTTGTCCAGGGGCCTCTCACGGTGAAGGCGTGCAGAGCCAGTACTGGAAGCCAGCAAGAGGGCTGCTGTATGCCTGACTTGGCTGCCACGGTCTGCACCATGTCGAGCTGCCTGTGGGGACAAGCGAACTTCAGTTGCTCTGGGCCGTGTTCCGCCATCTGATCCAGCAGCACGGCCCCTCCGCCAGCCAAGCCTCCTTCACACTCCTGAGGCCTCGCTGAGCAGCCGCCACCCCTTATATAAACTGACAGATATGGCTGGATGCTTCGACGTCACCTAAAGCTTCACCTTCAGAGTGTGCACTATCCCATCCTATTTCAGGTGTTAGCTGGGAGTGGGAAGGCCGTGTGTAAGGAGCAAGGGGAGCGAGCAAATGCCTTGCTCTGAGGAACGTCCTTGTGCTGGAGGTAGACCAGGAGGACACACGGCCCAGAGGCTAATTCTTTAATAGTAGAGATACGTGGTGGGATCATAAACAAAGACAGTTTCACGGGCTTTTGCTCGTCACTAGTGAGCCCTAATTATAAAGTATCGAATCAGAATTCAACTAGCCAAGCCATCATCAAAAACTCATAGCAGTTCATCAATAAGTGTGTAAAATCCTACTCTCCATGGACATTGTGGACCTTGGGAACTGGGGTCAGCATTTTTATTAACCCGTGTGGACACAGCAGTCTGAGAGTTTTCCATTCCTCGAGGGCTGCTTGCGGCGTGTTGTACGTCGATGGTATCAGTGGCGTCCCAGCCCTGCTTGGGAGGACACACACTGCTCATTTTCAGCAACCAGGGAGAATGAAATCACCCAGCACTCTTCCTCAGGCTGATGACCTCGGGGTGCCCTGGGTGACCCAGCCATAGGGTGAGCATTCAGGCCACAGCGCCTTCCCCAGACCCTCAGGACCCCTCATCAGGACATCCTTCTGGCCGGGGCCCCTCACCCCAGCTCGTCCTGGCCAGAGTCTAGGGTCAGCCTTTGTGCTTCGGAGACTCCTGCAGCAGGGTGAGAAGCAAGTTATTTAGACAGAGAAGGCAAGCACCGGAGACAGCCTGCCGCCCCCACCCTCCGTCGCCCTGCTGGGGACAACGTGGAGGGCACTGGCCTGAGGAGGGAATTTGGGGGTTCCTGCTGCCTGTCAGGATGTGGAGCACAGTGCAGCAGTGTGTGGTGAGGGGCAGCGGGTGGGCGGTCATTCTGGCAGCCTGCAGGGTCCCAGGAAACACGGTCTTCTTTGGTCAGATGAGAAGCAAGGCCTTGCTCAGCACAAGCGACCAGCACGTGACCTTTCACCTCAGGTCACCAAGAGTAGCAACAGTTAGGCCTCCTCCACCGAGCACATGCCTTGCTGACCTTGCCCAGGGAAGCCTGGCAGCCAGGGCGGGGCTCCCATGGCAAGGAGGCAGCCCTCCTCCAGGAGATAAGCCGTGTCCAGCATCCTCAATGTAGCGCTACTACCTCTATATGTAAGGCCTGCACCTGGTGACCTAAGTCAGGTTTTGCTTCTAGGTGGCATTTGCTTGAGGGTCCCAAGACCCCAGGGAGGGCACTGTCTGAAGACCCCGGCACAACCCCTCAGAGAACACGGCCACCTGGCTGTGAGCGGAGCTCTGCTTGAGCGCTGTGGCCCGTTTCCAGCATAAAGCAGGAAGTTCCTGGGACTTGAGCTGAGCACTGTGTGGCTTCATCATTGTTTTCAGAATGTGGTCTGTCCAGAGAGCAGTGGCATAGGAAGACATTGACTTGTTGCATATGTGGGCATTCAGCGCCTGTATTCACGTGGACATGTTTATGTGGGCATTCGGCGGCACCTGTATTCACGTGGACATGTTTATGTGGGCATTCGGCACCCGTATTCACGTGGACATGTTTACGTGGGCATTCGGCACCTGTATTCAGGTGGACATGTTTACATGGGCGTTCAGTGCATGTATTCACATGGACATGTTTACGTGGGCATCCAGTGCCTGTATTCATGTGTACATGTCTACATAGGCATTCGATACCTGTATTCACATGTACATGTTTATGTGGACATTCAACACCTGAATGCACATGTATGTGGGCATCCAACACCTGTATTCACATGTACATGTTTACATAGGCATTCGATACCTGTATTCACGTGTACATGTTTACATGGGCACCCAACACCTGTATTCATTCACCTGTGTACATGTTTACGTGGGCATTTGATGCCTGTATTCACATGTACGTGGGCATTCAACACCTGTATTCACGTGGACATGTTTACGTGGGCATTCAACAACTGTAATCACATGTACGTGGGCATTTGATGCCTGTATTCACATGTACATGTTTACGTGGGCATTCGACACCTGTATTCACATGTACTTGGGCATTCGACGCCTGCATTCACGTGGACATGTTTAGTCGTCAGCCTGAGCCATGCAGGCGGAGCGTTGGCTTTTGAGAAGGTCAGTTGCCTTCCTCACTTCCTAGCCTGTCCCCAGGGAGGAAAACAGGGAGTCTGTGTGTTCTTGGAGCTCTGGTGTCACCGCGGAGTTTGCTGTGCTCACTTTAGACTCTGGTTCTGTAACTTTTAATTCCTTCAGTGGTTCCTGTCTGAATTGGTTTTTGCTCTCGTTTGGTTTGAATTGGGGTATTTTTTTTTTTTTTTTTGCTGTGGTGTAAAGATTTTTCTAAAGGTCCTTTAATGTTATACAAGTCAATTATGCATCAATATTATGGATTAAACCATTTTCCTCAGCAGTGGTTGAAAGAAACTAGCTTTTCAGCAGACATCTTATTCTGGTGGATCTTTCAGTGCTTTTAAAGTAAATAACAATAAAGAAATTTTCATTTCTATTTCAAAGTTTTACTGTAGGCATTGCATGCAGACTGATTATAAATGAGCGAGCCTGCCCTTCCCACTGGGATGTGAAGTTCGCTGAATTATGTCAGCAGCCCAGGAATGACTGCTGTGCCTAAGCACACCTTCTGGCCCTAGCTCTGAATCCACATGTGTGAGAGGAGCATGCATGTCCCTGATGCAGCGGGACTGCCCTTTCATAGTGTCCGGGGGACAGGACATGACAGGCAGGATCTGCCAGAGCCTTGCTGCATCCCTGAGCTTAGCAGTGTGGGGCACTGCGTGTCCTCCGGCATCAGGAAGGCTGCGTCCCTGAGCTTAGCAGTGTGGGGCACTGCGTGTCCTCCGGCATCAAGAAGGCTGCATCCCTGAGCTTAGCAGTGTGGGGCACTGCGTGTCCTCCGGCATCAGGAAGGCTGCGTCCCTGAGCTTAGCAGTGTGGGGCACTGCGTGTCCTCTGGCATCAGGAAGTCACAGTGCATGGCCCCTTCTGTAACTCAGCGACCGACATGGGCGTGTTTCCAATTCCACTTGTATGTGTTTCTTGTGTATCTAACAAGAATTTGTGGATCTGTTTGAATGTGAAAAAAATGCAAGCATTCTCTAAAATTGAATTGTGTGTGGAGAAAATGATACTGAGGATAAAAGTGTTGAAAAGAGAACAGGAAAAGCGGAGAAAGAAAATGAGGGAAAGGAAGAGAGGAGGAAAAGAGGGAAAGCCACAGCACCAGAGGAGGGGAGTGGAGAGGTAGGGAGGAGGAGGAGAGGGAAGAGGAGGAGAGGGAAGAGGAGGAGAGGGAGGAGGAGAAGGAGAAGATGGAGGAGGAGGAGAGGGAAGAGGAAGAGGAGAGGAAGGACGAGGAGAAGAGCGAGGAGGAGGGGGAGAAGGAGGAGGAGATGGAGGAGGAGAGGGAGGAGGAGGAGAGGGAGGAGGAGGAGAGGGAGGAGGAAGAGAGGGAGGAGAGGGAGGAGGAAGTGGAGGAGGAAAGGGAGGAGGAGAGGGAGGAAGAGGAGGAGGAAAGGTAGGAGGAGAGGGAGGAGAGAGCATGAGGAGAGGGAGGAGGAGAGGGAGGCGGAGGAGAGGGAGGCAGGAGGAGGGAGGAGCAGAGGAGGGAGGAAGAGAGGAGGAAAAGAGGGAAAGCCACAGCACCAGAGGAGGGGAGTGGAGAGGTAGGGAGGAGGAGAGAGGAGGAGAGGGAGAAGAAGAGGGAGGAGGAGAGGGAGAAGGAGAGAGAGGAGGAGAGGGAGAAGGAGAGAGAGGAGAGGGAGAAGGAGAGGGAGGAGGAGAGGGAGAAGGAGAGGGAGGAGGAGAGGGAGAAGGAGAGGGAGGAGGAGGAGAGTGAGGAAGAGGAGAGACAGAGGAGGGAGGAAGAGGAGGAGGAGGAGGAGATGGAGGAGGAGGAGAGTGAGGAAGAAGAGAGAGGAGGGAGGAAGAGGAGAAGGAGGAGGAGGAGATGGAGGAGGAGGAGAGGGAGGAAGAGGAGAGGGAGAAGGAGGACAGGGAGGAGGTGAAGAGGAAGAGGAGGGAGGAGGAGAGGGAGAGGAGGGAGGAAGATGAGAAGGAGGAGGAGGAGATGGAGGAGGAGAGGGAGGAAGTGAAGGAGAGGGAGAAGGAGGACAGGGAGGAGGTGAAAAAGGAGAGGAGGGAGGAGGAGAGGGAGGAGGTGAAAAAGGAGAGGAGAGAGGAGGTGGAGAGGAGGGAGGAAGAGAAGAGGGAGGAAGAGGAGGAGGAGAGGGAGGAGGTGACGCCCCCTCCGCCTCACTCCTTGCCCACCTCCGAGTACACAGCTGGCTGCGGCTATCCCCCCGGGCCCAGCCCACCTATGCACACCTCTGAGTCTGCATTTTGCGGCGGTCTCCTCACTGACCATCCCTATAGCATCACAGAGACAGCGGCGTTACTGTAGGTCATGAACAGAAACGGCTCAAACAACTCAAGAAACACAGTTCTGGCCACGCCAGGCTTACTTGGTGAGCAGATGCCCTGTGAGGAACCCAGCCTGCAGGCCTGCGGGGGACACCATGACCCGGGCCTGGGGCAGGAAACCCTGGATGCCCCAGCAGGTACCCCAGGGCGTGGAGCTTCCGTCCAGGCTCCGTCCTGCCCTTGTGTGGGGACTGCCCCGAGGCTGCGCCCGCCTCAGCCCCACACCCAGGCTTGCTGTCCTGGGCGACTCCCTGCATGTGAGCGCCGGCTCCCGAGGACGAAGCCTTCCCAGCGCTGCTGTGTCCCCATGTGCCCCGGGCGTGCTCCACGCTCCTCTCCTCGAGGCATCGAGTCCTGTATTCAGGAAGCTTCTCACGCTGCCGCCTCCGCCCTGTGGGTTGAACTGCAAGGGTTTGTTTTCCTTCCATCCCTCGGCCCTGTCCATGCTGGTTGCACCTTCACTGTCCCCGTTATGCCTATGGGAGAATAGGGACTGCCCAGACCCAGCAGGGTGAGGTGAGGTAGCCTGGCCACTGCGGCTCATGAATTTGGGTGGAAACTGGGGTCCTGTGGATTTCTGTCCCTCTAAAGAGCAGCTCATATGACAGTAGCTGCCGCAGACCCGAAGGGTGAGAGCGAGTGGTTGCCACACACGGCGTCCTGCAGAGTGGCGCCATCTTCCCAAGTCACATCTGAGCCTACACTGCCGTGACGGAGTGAGGCGTTCCGAGACTGTTCGCGTTTTCATGAAACGTTTCTCCTTCCTGAGGACTGAGGGACTCCCTGGCATGTGGACGTTTTCAGGCCCTCAGACTCTGCTGACAGCAGTTAGGATGCAAGGCCACCTTCTCATCTTCCCTGACTTTGCTTTCATTGTGTCACTGTTCTCATCAAGAACTTTCAGAGACTCTGGCATGTAAGTAGCAGAAGAAGAGACCATGTTCCTTGACCAGTTATTATTTCAGGCCTTTTACCTCCACTCTGACTTGTCCTCATGGTTCCTCTAGAGGAAGCCTCCCCCGTCGGACTGGTCCTCTCATCTTTGGAAGCCTCCCCACTCGGACTGGTCCCCTCATCTTGGGCAGATTTCTACTTCCCATTGTTGACTCGAAGACCTCCCCTGTCGGGCGTGCCCTCTGCTGTACCATGAGGCTGAGTCACTCTGGGGTCCTGGATCCAGCCCAAGGCCAGCTTCCTAACCCCTTAACCGCAGTTACAGCTCTGAGCCCTGAGCCCACTTTTGCCGACACTGTCACCCTCCACGCACACTGTCTTGTGCACATGAGCCGGTGTGTGGTCTCACAACCTAGATTATGAACTGCGTGCAGAGATGGGGGGCTTACCATTTTCTTAAACTCACTGCAGCTCAACTTCCAGTGAAATCTTGGTTGGGAAGAATAATATTGACGTGGTTTATCCCTTCTAAACCCTCGCAGGCCCACCCTAGGATTCACCAGGCTTGACAGGCATGATGCCCAGGCCATGCTGGGCTCCTGCATAGCCATTTTTACTTGGCCTGAGGCCAGCAACCCTAGGCATTCCCTTGCCCTGTTGTATAAAGACATCATGGAGGATGGTGCATATTCTATTCAGCGCATCTCTGTGAGGACTCCTGGAACATTTCTTTTTTAATTTAAGAATAGCTATGATTTTCAAAAAATAGATTGTCTGTTTTTGTCATATAGACATTGTGGATCCTGTTCCTCTCTTCCCCGTGGCAGCTAGGGAGCTCACAGCCCCATCCGTAGCCAGCTCCTAGTAAGTAGGTCCGTGTCATGGGTTTTGCATACTAACCTCATTCTAGGCTCCAACTTATTTCCCATTCTTGTTTTCCCTATGTTTTCTTTTTGTCACCTCTTTTTAAATATGTGTTTACTTTGCTAACTTGTATGCATCTTTCTGGAATGAAGTGAGGTATAAATGAAAAAGCAAATTACTTAGTGCTCTGTATGACACTTAGGATGTGCTGTGTAGAGCTCTCAGTTGGAGTTTATTGATTCATTCACCAACTGACTTCAACTTGGATCAGTCCAGTTATTGTTACCATCATCACAAAGAGTCCAGAACTGGATGAGGCGGACACAAGCCCCACCAACCAGGACCTGGGGGCTGAGGTTCGGGAACAAAGACACCAATGGGCAGAGAAATTGAGGCTGAGGAAGATACAGCTCCAAGGAACAGAGGCAACACAGACAGAGGGAGGCACTGGGCCAAAGTCTGGGTGAGAGGGCCCTGGGCTTGGGTGGGAGGTACAGCAAGCCGCCTGGCCCCACAGCCCACTACATCTTTGTGAAGCTGATGTTGAGTGCATAGGGGCCCCTGGCCCTCGCAGCGGGCTGATGGAGAAAACTGAGCACGGGCTCTTCTCCCCAGATGAAGACACGGGTGGTGCTGGGAAGAGGCAGGTGGGCTTGAGCAAAGGCGTCTGTGGGGACTGCAGAGCTCGTCAGGGTAAGAGTCCCACGCATTGTAAGAACAGGTTTTCATCTCCTGGAGGTTGGGAGCCGCCTCTCTCCTGTTTGTTTTCTAGGCATGACTCCCACTCACAGAAGGGGCTGTGCTTGGTTTGTGCTTCTAATGTCCGCGTAGAGCTAAACCTCAGCTAAAGGCCAGCCGGAGCATGACCAAGGAGGCTTGTCCTGAAGAGAGAGGGGTCAGAAAAGCGGAGGTGGAGGACCCCTGCCTCCGTCTGCTGCGAGTGCCTAGAACGAGGTCCTCGCGATGAGCTGCTGGTTGGAAACTGTAGCATCTTGATGGTCCCAGCACTGAGGATGATGTGTGGACATCTGTGCAAGGCACCTTCTCACCCAGGCCTGGATCCAGTTCTGGGAGTTCTGGGAAGCTGGTTGTATCACTGCCCATTTACAGGGGAGCAGGCGGCCCAGGAAGACCCCGCCAGTACCCAGTGTACACCCGGAGTCGGCATGCAGCCTGGACCATATCACCCAGGCCTCCAGCTCCACGGCTCCAAGCCACACCCTGGACAGCCACCCGTGGCCTAGCAGCACATGGGACCTCGCACAAAGGAGCTGGGGCGCAGAGGCCAGAGAAGAAAGAAGATGCAAAAGCGACCAAAGACTCAATGTGTTTACGTGTTTGTTCAAAAAGATGTTCTCCCACCCCCCACAGGGGTCCCCCCAGACCCGGCCAAGAGACCCAACGCTGAGACCCAATGCCGAGAGCCTCGTGTGTCCTCTGGGGTCGCCCTGGGTGCCAGCTCCACCTGATTCATCCTAGAGAGAGTGTGGAGCTGAGGCCGCCCGCAGCAGGATTCGCCCAGGTCACAGTCGTTCACAGGCGGTTCCGGGAGCAGGAGCTGCACCTGGATCAGGGGCCTCTTTCCACTTCCTGCCCCAGGTCTCTGGGCAGCACTGAGCAGGACTCTGCTGGGCTCACACTGCAGCCACCATGGTCTGCGGGCCAGGGCTCTCACAAACTGTGTTTGTGTCTATGTGTGTCTCTGTTTGTGTCTGTGTATCTGTGTGTGTCTGTGTCTGTGTGTATGTGTGTGTGTGTATGTCTGTGTGTATGTGTGTGTCTGTGTCTATGTGTGTCTGTATGTCTGTGTGTTTGTGTGTCTGTGTATGTCTGTATGGGTGTCTGTGTGCGTCTGTGTCTGTGTGTATGTGTGTGTGTCTGTGTCTATGTGTGTCTCTGTGTATGTATGTGTGTCTGTGTCTGTGTATGTCTGTGCCTGTGTGTGTGTTTGTGTCTGTGTGTGTGTCTGTCTGTGTATGTGTATGTCTGTGTGTGTGTATCCATGTGTGTGTTTGTGTCTGTGTTCTGTGTGTGTATCTGTGTGTATTTCTATGTGTGGGTGTCTGTGCATCTGTGTGTGCGTGTGTCTGTGTATGTATCTGTGTGTGTTCATGTGTGTCCGTGTGTATGTGTGTGTGTCTGTCTGTATGTGTGTCTTTGTATGTGTCTGTGTGTGTCTCTGTGTGTTTGTCTGTGTGTGTTTGTGTCTGTGTCTGTGTGTGTTCATGTGTGCCTGTGTCTCCGTGTGTGTCTGTTTGTGTCTTGTGTCTGTGTGTTTCTGTGTCTGTGTCTGTGTGTTTGTGTCTGTGTCTGTGAGTGTGTGTCTGTGTCTGCATGTGTGTCTGTTTGTGTCTGTATCTGCGTCTGTTTGTGCGTCTGTGTGTGTTCGTGTGTGTCTGTGTGTTTGTGTGTCTGCATGTGTGTCTGTGTGTTTGTGTGTCTCTGACTGTGTGTGTGCACTGCCCTTTGCACTGCTTTGCCAGCACATTTTCCCTGTGCCGTGTGTGTCTTTCTCCTCCACTCAGTTGTAAGCTCCCTGAGGGCAGGGGCTGTGTCTCACTGCTCTGTGGAGTCCCAGATCCAGCACTCTGCACCCGTGACATGGTGGGTGGCTGTTAAATTGAGTTGGCAAAGAGGTGTCAGTGTCAGCTGCTGCAAGCCACAGAAGGGCATGAACTGGCAGCAGGTGGGATTAGTTTTATATCAGAGATGGAGACAGGGAATGGGGGGGCAGGTACCCCAGGAATCTATATCTGCATAGCAAATTATCCCAAATTGGAGAGCCCTGTTTTGCTCTCAGCTCTATAATCTGGTCAGGCATGACAGGGAAGTCTTGTTTCTGCTCCACTGGCATCAGCTGGAGTGGTCCAAGGGGGCTGGAGGGCTCGCCCCAAAGAGGGCTTGTCTACATAGCTGGCACATTGTGGTGGCAGTTGTGGAGCTCAGCCAGGGCTGTGGCTGGGAGCTCTGGGCCTCTGCATGTGGAGCCTCCACAAGGCTGCTTGGGCTTCCTCACAGAATGGCAGCGAGTTTCCCAAGAACAAGTGTCCCAAGAGAGGAAATGGGAGCTGCCAGTCTCTCGAGTCTGAGCCCAGAAGCCAGAAACTGGCAGGGCGTTACTTCTGCTGCCTCAACCGGCCAAGCGGGCCCACAGCCCCCGCACTCAGGTGGGGAGGACAGAGGTCTCACCTCGGGGGCAGGTGCATTCTGCTGCCTCAACTGGCCAAGCGGGCCCACAGCCCCCACACTCAGGTGGGGAGGACAGAGGTCTCACCTCGGGGGCAAGTGCGTCAGAGAATGTGTGGCCCTCTTCAGCACACCCAGCAATGAATCTGAATGCAGGCGCCTCATGACCTTGCTGTGTCTGGAGCTGGCTGAACGCTCTTCCCGAGGATGTCCGTCTACCCGAGCTGGAGGGATGTATTAGAGGATACGAAGGAAGATTTGATGCTTTTTTCAGATCTGCTCTGTCATTGGGCAAAATAAGCTCCCCTATAGCGCTAATTTTTAACAAAGATTTCTCCCCAAAGGAGAGAGTAGGATCATGTATTTGGAAAAGCTCACATACCATTGAATGAAAATGAAAAGAAATTAGCTTCACGCATTCATAATTCCTACATTCTCTGGGTGCACAGGGCCTGACAACAGCAGAAAGCCTCCGGTTTAACGTAAAGAGGTGGGACCTGCTGAGACCCTCACCTCAGAAAGTGCTTAATTGAAAATCCAGTTTCTCCACATGATGCTGCTAAGAATATTTAATTAGCGTTATCATTAAGCAAGGGTAGTTGTTATACTGACATCATGCATTCTGTGACTGACACACTTAAACCAGCAGAAACCTCCAGTCATATTCTATCTACATAAACTCTGCTCTGAAGCTAAGCATGGTTCCAATATGTTCCTGAAATTAAATTCACTGGATTAAACAAATAGAATTAAGGGTGCCAGAATTTCATCTCTAAATTGCAGAGCAGTGTTCTAGAAGCAGAAGCAGCATTCACCGGGGCCGGTGGCAGCGGGAAGTGAAAGTGCTGGGGAGGCTCGGAGACCAAGGAAGCCACAGAGAACCCCAGGCCGGACGGGCTGCTGGGGCCAAGCGTGGATGCGGTAGCCGAGGTCGGGGTGTGTATCCTAAAGCCCAGTAAGCCATGATGCCTGCACCAGAGGCCACAGCCCCACATGTGCTTTCAGGCCATCTGCCGGGTCTTGGGAAGAATAAAGTGTGCAAAGGGGCGGGTGGCAGGGAGGGGCCCATGGCAGCCCCCAGGGAATCCAGGTGAGGAGCGCCTGGGATAGTGTTTTAGATGTGAAGCCTGCAGGTCTGGGAGGGAGCTGTGGTGGAGTGGGAGGCAGGAACGCGCTGAGCCACAGGGAGCTGCGGAAGAGAGTTCCGTGTGGAGGGGCTGGTGACATGTCTGCTGTGCTGTTACAAATCCTGGTGAAGATGTGTGGGTGTGTTTTATGCAGGACCAAGGGAGCCCGTGGCGTGGCTAAAGCCAAGCCCAACATCTTCTACCCAAGGCCTGCAGAAGGTCTGGGGTGTATCAGCAACCCATACTGTCTTCAGTGGAGTTGTGGTGGCTGAATTCCAAAATCCTATCTGTGTTCCATTTGCCTGTTGACATTGCTGTGATGTTTCCATAGGTGCTTAGTCAACCTGTCACACCTAGAAGTCAATACACCTTCCTTAACTGCCCCCCCGACAATGAGGGGAGTCATCCAGGGAAGGGGTGTGGAATTCCAGCAGGGCGAGCTGGTTGCCGGCAGCTCATTAGCTGTGGCCTCTCAGATTAGCAGTAATTAAACTGTGAAATCAGACCAGCGCCTTAAGCCTGGATGCCGTCGGGAGTGGCCTGGGGATAAATCACCGGCATGTGTTGGTCCTTGCTTGGCACGGGCAAAGCGTGTGGGGGGCGGAATAATGAGGACATTCAACCGCTGCCCTCGGTGGACACTGGGCTGGCCGCGGTGGAGGCGTTGTCATGACGATGGCTGGGTGCAGGCAAACGCTCCTCCCGTTCGCTGTGGTTAATGAAGATGATCATGAAAAATTATGCCAACATTACGGCCATATTTTTATGCTGACTGGCACGTGCAACCTGATGCCAGCGTCAGCACACAGCGGTGACAGTAATTATGTGTTGACAAATGAGGGGACAATGTGAGGAAATGTCTGACTCAGAGATGTGTGTGTCGACTTCGCCGAGTAACTTCTTCCGAGGGCATGTTTGTTCTTTAAAGCCTCCATAGGTGCCATGGCACTGTGGGTGCCAAAACACCCCAATCACTTGTCCTTATTTTCTAAAGAAAGACACTACAATTAAAGCAGAAACTGCTCCCCTAAGCAGAATGGATGAGATCGAGATAAATCAATGTTTTTTATATTTTAAGGAAATCAGTGTGATTTCCAAATGATTTTTCCAAATGACTTTTCTTGTGGGGTGATGTGTTTAGGTTTTTTTGTAACTGATTTTGTTTCTGAACAGAAACATCTGGGGTGGAGCTGGGGCTGGGCTGGGGCGTCGCAGCCCCCTTGGCCTCTCCAGGAGCTGGGGAGCCTCACGTCATCCCCATCATGGCTCCTTGAAGACAAGTGTTGCGGCCGCGTGCTCTCATGGCCGGGATATGGGAACGGGAGGCCAGCGTGGGGCGTCCGGCCCGGAGCCACACTCTGTCACTGTAGGGGGGTCGCTTCTTGGCCCCAAAGCAAAGCCTGAGGATGTAGCGTGCGGTTCTGCCCGTGTGCTGTGCTTCAGTGAACACACTCAGATCGCACAGCCGAACGCAGATGAGCTGCTCGGAGGAGCAGAGGACGATCCGTTGACTGTAAAACAGGCTTGCTGGGCCTCACTCTCTCTGCATCTCCTGTGCTCTGGATTTGATATTCCAGCAATCTGGGGAATTCATAGCCACAAATATAGGTTGCAGTCTTGTTAGTGAAATCTTTTTTTATTGATTTTGTTAAACAAAGATGCTTAAGTAGTTGCAATCTGAAGTAGAGTTTGTCTTTCCAGTTTGTTCTTGTTTTTACCGTTTGGAAGATCAATATTAGTCGCCACACTGCAGAGTGTGTGACTCACAGTGGCAATTCTCTTTTTACCGCTCGGTGTCAGCAATAAGCAGGAATCGTGTATGGAAGCGTCCCATGACTGTGCCTTCATGTCCTTAATGTCCCTCAAGCGGGCTTTCTTGCCTCCTAAGTCCTACCTGCCTTTTGAGTTTAAAAACAATAACAAAACAAACAAACAAAAAATAGCAAGGAGCACAGAGCTGGAAGTTTCTGCTTCAGCTGGGGCCTGGCTCTGCTCCAGGTCTGAGCCTGGCAGGCCTTGCCAGGACCACTGGTTCCCACCGCCTCCACACACACACAGCGTTTCTAAGAGGAGCAGGAGTATAGACAGTTCTCACCACACTGCAGAGGCACAGCACCAAACAGAACAGTGTTCGCCTGTGACCACGGAAGGCAGACTGGCCTGGCAGTGAAAGAGCGGTCGCCCTGGCCAGTTGCTGACTTGCACCCATGGGCACTCACTTCCCCAATGCAGTGTTTCCTGGGAGAGCAGGAGCATTCTTACTGCTGTATTCGTGAGCATTCTTACTGCAGGGTGTGACTGTGAGGACTTCCCAGCCATTTGTACGCAAAGGCAAACACCGTACAAAGTGTCAGGCATCATTATCAAGGTAGAAGGAGAGAGAAAGATTGGGTTATCCTAAGAACACAGATAACATGGCAGTCAGTCTCATTGTAAAACCAAGATGCCAGGAGGAACAGGGAAACCCCTCCTTCTTGTTCAGAAGCTTCCGTGGTCCCCTTAAATTGGTAGGGTCCAAGGATAAATCTGGTACAAGGCGTTCATAAGCCACAGATGGATGATGGACGTGGAGTGCTGTGTGCCCAGCACAGCCTGGCTACTTCATGTCAACCTCCCTGCAGCCAGGGAAGCTCAGTACCTTGCCCAGAGCTCCTCATCTACACTGCAAGTGCCAGGATTTGAATCAAGACGTGCCAAGGCCTGGCCCCTACCCTGCAGGGGGAGCTGTGGCAATGGCAGCCCCTGGAGTGACTATTGTATGGTGCTAGGTGGTGCCAGGAGGAGGGCTGGCAGTGTCCAGAGGGGGACAAGCCACTCCCAGCTGGGTCATCAGACAGGATTCCACCCACCCGGCAAGAGCCAGTGCTGAGAGCTGGCCAGGAAGACAGAGACATAAGCCCAGAAAAGACCATTTCTGGTGCCATCAACTACAAGTAGAGGGTGAAGGCCCCAACGGAGGTAGCCAAGGGGACGTGTTTCGAGAGCCACCTGCAAAGTGGCCCTGTGTCTCACCCAGCCTCTGAGATTTCAATGTCCTGTCCTCCAAGAAATGGTGTCTCAGCCAAATGCTATGGAGCATTGAGCAAGTTCTTGCAGTTCTGGGTACCTTAGTGTCTCCTCCATAAACTGGGGAAAAGAATAGGACCCGCAGCACAGGCATTTGTGAGGAACACCCAAGTCATCCAAACACACTCTGCAAGTGCCAGCAATTCTCTAGGATAGAAGCTCTGAGAATAGCTTTTTCTGATTCCTCCCGTGTCTCTTCAGTGAAAGTGTTTGTTTATGGGTGGATCAATGGATGGATGGAGGAAGGATGGGTGGATAGATGGATGGAGGAAAGAAGGATGGATGCATGGATGGATGGATGGATGGTTTGGTTGACAGATGAGGGATGGTGGTTGGATGGAAGAAGAGTGGATGATGGATGGGTAGATGGATGATGGATGGATGGATGAAGGAAGGATGGATGGGTGGATGGATGTAAGAAGAATGGATGATGGATGTGTGGGTGAATGGATGGAAGGATGGATGGATGGAGGAAGGATGGATGGTTGGATGGATGGATGGGTGTGTGGGTGGATGGATGGATGGATGGATGGATGGATTGGTGGACAGATGGGGGATGGTGGATGGATGGAAGAAGAGTGGATGATGGATAAGTAGATGGATGATGGATGGATGAATGGAAGAAGAATGGATGATGGATGGGTGGGCGGATAGATGGATGGATGGATGGAGGAAGGATGAATGGTTGGTTGGATGGATGGGTGGATGAAGGAAGGATGGATGGTTGGATGGATGGATGGGTGTGTGGGTGGATGAAAGAAGGATGGATGGATGGGTGAAGGGTGGATGGATGGAGGAAGAATGGATGATGGATGGATGGGTGGGTGGATGGATGGATGGATGGAGTAATGATGGATGGATGGATGGATGAGTGGATGAGTGGATGGATGGAGGAAGAATGGATGATGGATGGGTGAGTGAATGGATGGAGGAAGGATGGATGGATGAGTGGGAGTTTGGGTGGATGAAAGAAGGATGGATGGATGGGTGAAGGGTGAATGGATGAAGAATGGATGATGGATGGGTGGATGGGTATGTGGGTGGATGAAAGAAGGATGGATGGATGGGTGAAGGGTGGACGGATGGAGGAAGAATGGATGATGGATGGGTAGGTGGGTGGATGGATGGAGCAATGATGGATGGATGGATGAGTGGATGGGTGGATGGAGGAAAAATGGATGATGGATGATGGATGGGTGGGTGAATGGATGGAGGAAGGATGGATGGATGGGTGGGTGTGTGGGTGGATGAAAGAAGGATGGATGGATGGGTGAAGGGTGGACAGATGGAGGAAGAATGGATGATGGATGGGTTGTACGGATGAGGGATGGTGGATAGATGGAAGAAGAGTGGATGATGGATGGGTGAAAGGATGATGGATGGGTGGATGGATGATGGAGGGATGGATGAAGGAAAGATGGATGGATGGTTGGATGGGTGGATGAATGGAGGAAGAATGGATGATGAATGACAGGTGGGTGGGTGGATGAAAGAAGGATGGATGGATGGGTGAAGGATGGATGCATGGAGGAATGATGGATGGATGGTTGGATGGATAAAAGAAGGATGGATGGATGGATGAAGGATGGATGGGGAGTGAGTGGATGGATGGGGGAAGGATGGGTGGTTGGATGGATGGAGGTATGGATGCATGGATGATGGAGGAAGGATGGAGGGATGGATGAGTGCATGATGGATGGATGGATGGAAGAATGATGGATGGTTGGATGGATGAAAGTGGATGGGTAGATGGATGGGTGGGTGGGTGGATGGATGGATATGGATGGATGGATATGGATGGATCAATGGATGGATGGATGGGTAGATGGATGGGTGGATGAAGGATGGAAGGATGGATGAGTGCTTGATGGATGGATGGATGAATGGCAGGATGGATCATTTCCCAGCTGTAGGACAGACAATCGGCTCCTGTCCCCTGCTGTATGCCAGGCACGCAGTCTCTCACTCTTTTATTTTTTAATTTTTTATTGTGGTAAAATATATAACATTTGTGATTTTTAACCTTTAAATGTACAATTTAGTGGTAGTATTTACATTCAAAATACTGTGCAACCATCATCACTATCTGCTTCTAAAACTCTTTCCATCTTTCCACACTGGAAGTCTGTCCCCATTAAACACTAACTCCCCAGCCCCCAGGACCCACTGTCCTACATTCTGTCTCTATGGATCTGATGACTCTAAGGACCCCATACGAGTGGAATCACACAGTGTTTATCATATTGTGACTGGCTTATTTCACTTAGCATAACATCTTCAAGGTTCATCCATGTTGTAGCCTGCATCCAAAATCTCTGCCTTTTCAGTGCTGAGTAATATTCCCATGTGTGGGTGGACCACATGATGTTTATCTTTTCTTCCATTGGTGGACGCTTGGGTGGCCTCACCTCTTGGCTTCTGTGAGCGCTGCTGCTATGAACATGGGCGTGCGAATCTCTCTCTGAGTCACTGCATTCGGTGCTTTTGGGCATATGCCCCTGGTGGAACTGCTGGGTCCTGGGCTGATTCTGTGGTTAGTTTTTTGAGGACCCACTAACAGCGACTGCATCATGCTATATTCCTCCCTGCAGAGTGTGCCAGTTACGATTCCTCAGCATTCTCGCCAGCACGTTTTTGTTGTGTGTGTGTGTTTAGTTACGGCCATCCTAGAGGGTGCGTGCATGGCCTCTCCTAGCCTCCACATGCTCCACTCATGTGGCTGCGACTAAAGCTTCCCTGTGTTCACGGACATCATGAAGATCAAACGAACATGAGAGTGTTTGGAAAATGGTCACAGGTTAGACTGAATATGAGGTGTTGTTGCTTCTCTGAAAACAAAAGGTGGGCACCGTGGTGCTCTGGGGGATGGGGCAGCCACATGGGGCAGTGGCCACACAGCAGAGGCCCAGCAGCCCCTAACCCTGCCCGGTGCAGCCTCCTCCTACCACTGCCGGGGCTCTCCTGCCCTCAGGAGACTCCAGCAAGTGACTGCACTGCGAAGAGAGGACCAGCCACCAGCCCTCAGCATCCAAGGGAGGAATTAATTCCGAATGAAGAGGAAACCAAGCAGTGAGGCAGGCTAAGATTTCCAGAAGAATTTAATCTGCAGTCAGGTTAGGGGCGTGGCCTTCCCCCATGGCCAGGGGGGCAGCTGCTCCCAACTCTGAAAAGGAGGTGGAGGCTCAGTGTGCAGCTCCCCTGGGGACCCAGCCGAGAGGATCCCCAACTGTGCCGTGGGGTTTGGGGCTAGGAGAAGGGACTCGAGGCCACACCAGCCTGGCTCAGGGCCACCGCCAACCTGTGCCTCAGAGCGAAGGCCGCCCCATGGCCACAGTGACTGGGGCAGGCTGTCTTGGGCCTCTGGAGAGCTGGAGTCTGTGCTGTCATCACCAGGGCTGAGCTTTTGTTGGAAAAGGGAAGGGAGAGAAAAATGAGGAGGGCACATCACGCCAGAGGTCATGGTGTATGTGGCTGGAAATTTGAGTTGGACTGGACACCTCAGGGCATCTCCCTCTCCTTCCCACTGTGGCCTGGGATGGACTCTGTGCCTGTGAGTGGGCAGCCATGGGCTCTGATGGAGGGTTAACCCTGTGACCGACCATGAGTGGGCGGCCGTGGGCTCTGATGGTTAGCTCTGTGACCATGAGTGGGCGGCCGTGGGCTCTGATGGAGGGTTAGCCCTGTGACCGACTGTGAGTGGGCGGCTGTGGGCTCTGATGGAGGGTTAGCCCTGTGACCGACCGTGAGTGGGCGGCTGTGGGCTCTGATGGAGGGTTAGCCTCCGGCACCAGCACCTGGGCCTAACATGCTTTTCAGGGGCGGGGCTGGATTGTGGCTGCAGGGCCTTGGACACGCAGGGACACACTTCCCAAGGGGGGCCCTGATACCCCTCCCTGCATGCGGTGCCTGGGGCCACCATGCTCCCACCTCTCTCCTTTGGCTCTGAAAAGTTTTTTCTTTTTTCTCTTTTTTTTTTATTATTATACTTTAAGTTTTAGGGTACATGTGCACATTGTGCAGGTTAGTTACATATGTATACATGTGCCATGCTGGTGCGCTGCACCCACTAACTCGTCATCTAGCATTAGGTATATCTCCCATTGCTATCCCTCCCCCCTCCCCCCACCCCACAACAGTCCCCAGAGTGTGATATTCCCCTTCCTGTGTCCATGTGATCTCATTGTTCAATTCCCACCTATGAGTGAGAATATGCGGTGTTCGGTTTTTTGTTTTTGCGATAGTTTACTGAGAATGATGATTTCCAATTTCATCCATGTCCCTACAAAGGACATGAACTCATCATTTTTTATGGCTGCATAGTATTCCATGGTGTATATGTGCCACATTTTCTTAATCCAGTCTATTATTGTTGGACATTTGGGTTGGTTCCAAATCTTTGCTATCGTGAATAATGCTGCAATAAACATACGTGTGCATGTGTCTTTATAGCAGCATGATTTATAGTCCTTTGGGTATATACCCAGTAATGGGATGGCTGGGTCAAATGGTATTTCCAGTTCTAGATCCCTGAGGAATCGCCACACTGACTTCCACAATGGTTGAACTAGTTTGCAGTCCCACCAACAGTGTAAAAGTGTTCCTATTTCTCCACACCCTCTCCAGCACCTGTTGTTTCCTGACTTTTTAATGATTGCCATTCTAACTGGTGTGAGATGGTATCTCATTGTGGTTTTGATTTGCATTTCTCTGATGGCCAGTGATGATGAGCCTTTTTTCATGTGTTTTTTGGCTGCATAAATGTCTTCTTTTGAGAAGTGTCTGTTCATGTTCTTCGCCCACTTTTTGATGGGGTTTTTTTCTTGTAAATTTGTTTGAGTTCATTGTAGATTCTGGATATTAGCCCTTTGTCAGATGAGTAGGTTGCAAAAATTTTCTCCCATTCTGTAGGTTGCCTGTTCACTCTGATGGCGGTTTCTTTTGCTGTGCAGAAGCTCTTTAGTTTAATTAGATCCCATTGGTCAATTTTGTCTTCTGTTGCCATTGCTTTTGGCGTTTTAGACATGAAGTCCTTGCCCATGCCTATGTCCTGAATGGTAATGCCTAGGTTTTCTTCTAGGGTTTTTATGGTTTTAGGTCTAATGTTTAAGTCTTTAATCCATCTTGAATTGATTTTTGTATAAGGTGTAAGGAAGGGATCCAGTTTCAGCTTTCTACATATGGCTAGCCAGTTTTCCCAGCACCATTCATTAAATAGGGAATCCTTTCCCCATTGCTTGTTTTTCTCAGGTTTGTCAAAGATCAGATAGTTGTAGATATGAGGCATTATTTCTGAGGGCTCTGTTCTGTTCCATTGATCTATATCTCTGTTTTGGTACCAGTACCATGCTGTTTTGGTTACTGTAGCCTTGTAGTATAGTTTGAAGTCAGGTAGTGTGATGCCTCCAGCTTTGTTCTTTTGGCTTAGGATTGACTTGGCAATGTGGGCTCTTTTTTGATTCCATATGAACTTTAAAGTAGTTTTTTTCCAATTCTGTGAAGAAAGTCATTGGTAGCTTGATGGGGATGGCATTGAATCTATAAATTACCTTGGGCAGTATGGCCATTTTCACGATATTGATTCTTCCTACCCATGAGCATGGAATGTTCTTCCATTTGTTTGTATCCTCTTTTATTTCCTTGAGCAGTGGTTTGTAGTTCTCCTTGAAGAGGTCCTTCACATCCCTTGTAAGTTGGATTCCTAGGTATTTTATTCTCTTTGAAGCAATTGTGAATGGGAGTTCACTCATGATTTGGCTCTCTGTTTGTCTGTTGTTGGTGTATAAGAATGCTTGGCCAGGGCAATTAGGCAGGAGAAGGAAATAAAGGGTATTCAATTAATTAGGAAAAGAGGAAGTCAAATTGTCCCTGTTTGCAGACGACATGATTGTATATCTAGAAAACCCCATTGTCTCAGCCCAAAATCTCCTTAAGCTGATAAGCAACTTCAGCAAAGTCTCAGGATACAAAATCAATATACAAAAATCACAAGCATTCTGAAAAGTTTTTTCTTATTTTGGATGCCTTGTTAAAAGGCAAGTACCCCAGCAGGTGTCAGTGGAGACTGTGACCGCTGAATAGCAATGGTGATGGGGTGAGGCTGGATCTGGCCAGAAGAGGGCTGAGGGGCATGGAGAAGACTCGGGGAGCACAGGGAAGATGTGGGAGGTGGGGAGGATGGGAGGGAGGACAGGGAGAGGACAGGAAGGACTGGCTCTGCTCATTCTCCTTCGCACTTCTGTGGAGCAGCTGCTCTGGGCCCAGATAATGATCTCTCGAGGGCAGGACTTGTGGTTTTATTTGCGTCATGAGCCTTTAGGAAGTTTGGGGTCGTGCATGTAGAGCTGAACGTGGGGACACCGAGAACGTGCACCCTGCATCCCGACTGCTGAGTTCACTTCTCTGCAAAGCACAAATCGCTGTCCCATCCTGGGTCACACTCCTGGGAGCCAAACCTGGGTGGGATTCTGTCTCTACCCCACATCAGCTGTAAGATTTGGGGCAGGGCGCAGAACCCCCTGAGCACGTGGGAAACTGATCACCACGTGGGGGATGTTTGTTAGAGAGATTCAGTGGGTGATGTGGGGGCAGAAGGAGGCCCCTAGAGCAGAGTATGGCATCTGTTCTGAATGCCGATATGGCGTTGGGGGGACAGCACCCTGGCGGCCTGCAGCACCCTCTGTGAACAGGGAAGGCTGGAAGGAAGGGGTGGGTCCCCCTGACAGGTAGGGGCTGCTGGATGGTCCCACTTTGCCCGCCCGGTCTCTTCCTACACTATGGTTCTCACTGATGTTCCCTGGGCAGACAACTCAGGATGAGCCTCTGTGAGTGCTGGACTTGTGTTCCATCCAGCTCCTCCCCAAGAGAGGGGCAGGGGCTGGTGCCCCAAAGCACCAGCACCCCACATGGACTGGCACATTTTGAAAGATATAACACAAAGAACTTCCATTATAATCGCTGCCCAGGCGACCATTCTCAACGCGTACATTATTTGTTAAAGTAATTTTTAAAGCCTCAAAGTCATGAGTCCAGAACTTGCAGATCTGAACACCAACATCATTGACCAATAACAGCAACCGCTGAAGATAAAAAGCCAGGCCGCCCCGGACAGTGAGCCCCACATGTCTGAGTCACACGTGTCCGTCTTCCATTTGAAGGAGGCCTTTGAAAAGACAGCAGTTCATTCTTTAAAGTCTGGCTTTAAATTCAACTTTAATGAAGCGGCCCTGATGGGCTTACAAGGAGCTGACACTGGACACGCCAGGCTCCTGGGCCAAGCGGCTGACACTAGCAGACCTCTGTCCACCTCGGGTTCTCCCACCTGCCGGAGTTCCCGCAGGAGCCAGTCCATCCAGGAAGCAGGGCCTCCCAGCTCCTCAGGAACATCGCTCCCCGATGCTGCCTAAACAGGTGCATCTCAGCCCAGCAGGCTCCCTTGGCGCATGGTGGACACGGTGCTGCATTGACAGGATTTGGGCAGAGGAGACGTAACTTAGCTCGGACCTAAGTAACAATGCCGACCGCCTGCGCCCACGGCGCCCAGGCACCGATGCTCCCAGGAGAGGGAAGGGGGGAGCGGCAGATCCAGGGACTCGAACCCCAGGCAGGTCTGAAGGGCTTCACAGGACATGATTTTTCAGACCCAAGAGAAACGAGGAATAATAGAGTCACTTGCCTTTTTCTTGAAACGTCGGAATTATTTGATGTGACTTGTGTAACTTGGAAAGTATGACATAAACCTAGGTATGAAAGTTAAGGAGCGATGTCACTCCTCCAGTTGAGCAATGGCCTGACGTGGCTGGAGGGGCGTACCGTGGCAGGGAAACCAGGAGCACGCTGTTTGTTAGCCACAGAGCAGCCACGCAGGCAGGGCTCCATCCGGGAGGCAGAGCCACTAGGAGTCCCGTGAAATCAGGGATTTTCTGAGCAGGGCCTTCTGCTGTGCAGCAAGGGTTGGGGGGTAGCGTGGGGAGCTGGGGAAGGGACCACTGCCTCCACGTCTCTGAGCCAGTAGGGTGGATGGGCGGGGGTCAGGAGGGACCTGGACACAAAGCAAGGACACCGCGGGATGCAGGAGACATGCCAGTCCCGTCCTCCAGGGACCCCTGCGTCCGCCCACCCGGGCCAAGAGAGGATGCCCCGCGCACGCAGCCTTCCCAGCACAGCAGCTGCCACCTGCCTCGGCTCCCTTTAGCCTCCCAAACCTTGTGCAAAGTCCACCTTGGCCAGCTGGACCCAGAGCTGCACGGGGGCCACGGTCTGGGGCCCGCGTCCCAGCCCGGCTGAGCTGACCAGCTGTGTGGCCTCGTGCCACCTACCTCGCCTCTGAGCCGGTCTTGCCCTTTGGGGACATGGAGGTTACCCTGACTGCTGTGCAACTTCACTGAAGGAGCCGCCTGAGCGGAGCATGACCCAGGAGCGTGCAGGCCACGGGGAATGGCGCCTGGACAGGCCTGGACTGTGGGCAACACCACGCTCGTCATCATCCATATTTGGATGTGGTCGGCATTAGTACCTGTCCAGTCAATTACGACACCGGCCCTTTTCTTCCCCGCAACCGGCCCACTGCAGCCACGCCGGGAGCTACGGGGAGCACATCCCATCCCGCGACCGCATCTCCCGCTCCGTCAATCCCGCGCGTCCCCTGCGCCGTCAGTCCCGAGACCGCGTCCCCCGCACCGGCAAGGCTGTCCCTCCCGCAAACCCCTGGCTTCACCACGTTTGCCCTGGGGCTGCCCCGTGGATGATCCACCACGTGGTGCTGCCTTTTCAGTGCACCAGAGAGCTGCTTCAGGGCCCTGCGGGAGATCCAGCACTGCCTTCTTGTGCGCGGTGTCTCGGGCGTCAGGGGCGGAGCCTGGTTCATTCGCGGGGCCCCAGGTTAAGTTCAGCAGCTGGGGCTCTTTTCAAAGGTCTCTGAAATCACCTGTTTGTAGAGCAAGTGGGCTTTGAGCAATTATTTCCCTTGTTCTTCAAAAGCTGTTTTGCAAGGCTAGGTTTTTAAATTGCAATAATAATTTATTTAGGGGGTGGGGGAGGTTTAAAAAAAAAAACTTGTATCTTGTGAGCCACAGAGCATACCAGTCGAACAACAGGTGAAAGACGCACGGCTTCGAGATAGAAAAGATCCTCATAGCCCGCTAACTGCCAAGTGCTTGCATCTTAACACCTCCCGCCTTCCCCGACTGGAAGACCTTCCTCTGCCCGTATCCAAAGTTCCCTGGGGTCCTGCCCAGTTGCCCCGGCCCTGCCCGCGCCTGCCGGGGTCCTCCTTGTCCCCACCGGCCGCCGAGAGCTCCAGCACTCCTGCCTCAGTCGGAGGGTGAGCTGGGCCTGCGGCGTGGAGCATGTCTCTCTGCTCTCCCGCTCTGCCTTCCAGGCCTGGCTTCTGTGTCGCTGCCATAGGAGGCGGCTCAGTGCTCCTCCTCCGTGGGCCACTTCTGCTGTGGGTTCCTCGACGGTCTCTGCCTGCACGGTGCAGACTCAGCCTTCACCCATGGCCAATTCTGCTGTGGGTTCCTCGACGGTCTCTGCCTGCACGGTGCAGCCTCAGCTGCAAGGCTAGGTTTTTCTATGTCGTAACAATAATGATCTCTTTAGGGGGTGGGGGAGGTTTTAAAAAAAAACTTTTATCTTGTGAGCCGCATAGCATACCATAGTCCATCCACTGCCCGTTTGCTTTTCTGGCAGGGGTCCACCCCACACGGCGGCTCCTGGCCCCACATCCCTGACTTCGGCCCGTCCCTCACGCGTGGCCCTGCATGTTCCAGGCTCCGTCCATGTTTCGCAGAAAGACTTTTTCTTCTTCATGTGCTTAAGTGACCAGCGCTCCCATCCGCACAACCCTGGCTGAGGAATAATGACATGGAAAGCGACGTCCTCTTTCCCCTGAGCAGTTTCTCGTCTATCAGGAACAGGGTTTTTTTTTTTTTTTCCTCCCTTCTCCTGACATAGTCACCCATAAATGGTTTGGCCTTAATTCCTATGAAGGTAAGGACACTGCTGATGTTCCTTGAGTCCCCACGCTAGCAGCTTCTCATGCCTTTCCCTGCTAAGCTCCGTGCTGTATTGCTTCCATTGCGCAGTGAGAGCAGCGCAGGCGCAGATACTGCTACTCCACAAAACAGGAGGCTGAGCTTTAGAAGGTTAAAGGCTGGGCGCAGTGGCTCACACCTGTAATCCCAGCACTTTGGGAGGCTGAGGTGGGCAGCTGAGACCAACCTGGCCAACATGGTGCAACCCGTCTCTATTAAAAATACAAAAATTAGCTGGGCGTGGTGACGGACACCTGTAATCCCAGGTACTTCGGGAGGCTGAGGCAGGAGAATCACTTCAACCTGAGAGGCAGAGGCTGCAGTGAGCCGAGATCGCGCCACTGCACTCCAGCCTGGGCGACAGATCCTGTCTCAAAAAAAAAAAAAATTAATTAAAAGATTAAAAAATTTGCCCTGGTTTACCCAGATAATAAATTACAGAGCCGAGATCCTAACCTAGAACTTCATTATTCACTCATTCATGGAAACTCTTTTGGAAGTGCCACTCTTCCAGATAATTCCACTTAAAAACACATACACGTAATTCTTTGATTGTAAAGAAGTCTGGTCTTTCTGGCATTTCCTACTGTTTTTCACAAGTATATTTTTGGTTAAAACTATTTTTGTGCAGTGGTACAAATCCTACCCATAAAATGTCAGGGTAGTCAGATGCCAAGTAAACCACTGCAGCATTTACCTACACAATGCCAGCCCCGCCCAGCCCTGGCTGGGAACCTGGGTGCTGGACGCTGCCGTGGGAAGGGCCTGTGACCAATGGGAAATGCTCGCATTCTTCTTTTTTTCAAATTTATTTTAGAATCGGGGGTACGTGTGCAGGTTTGCTTCCTGGGTGTATTGCATGATGCTGAGGTTTGGAGTAAGAATGGATCCGTCTCCAGGCAGTGAGCATAGTAGCCAAGGGGTGGTTTTTTTTCACTCCTTCCCTCTCCCCTTCCTACCCCCTCCCTCTGGGGGTCCCCAGTGTCTGTCATTCCCATCTTTGTGTCCATGGGTACCCAGTGCTTACCTCCCACTCATAAGTGAGAACATGTGGCATTTGGTTTTCTGTTTCTGCATTAGCTTGCTTAGGATCATGGCCTCCAGCTGCACCCATGTTGCTGCAAAAGACATGATTTCATTCTTTTTATGGTTGCATAGTATTCCACGGTGTATATGGACCACATTTTCTTATAATCAAATGAGGATGACTCAACTTCTCAAACCCCCCCGTGAAGACACAGCTGTAAACATGAACCTGCCCTAGAAGTTCGATGAACTTCTCAAGAAAGGCTGAAATACTCCCATTCGTACCCAGGACTAAATTGTAATTTTTAAAATAACAAACATCATCAGAAGCTACTGTTTGGAATTACAGATTTTCTCAACATTTGGCACAGTACTGGGTTTCTGGGTAGTTTTTGTCTTTGACAGCTTGAATAGTCTAAACATCTCAATATTTACATATTTACATCTTTCATAAAGATTTTTAAGAGTAAAATTATAATATTGTCTGGGTGTGGTGGCTCACGCCTGTAATCCCAGCGCTTTGGGAGGCCAAGGCAGGCAGATTGCTGAGCCCAGGAGTTTGAGACCAGCCTGGGCAACATGGAGAAACCCTGTCTCTACAAAAATTATAAAAATTAGCCGGGCGTGGCAGCGCACACCCATAGTCCCAGCTCCTCAGGAGGCTGAGGTGGGAGGATGGCTTGAGCCCAGGGAAGGTGAGGCTTCAGTGATCCCAGACTGCACCACTGCACTCCAGCCTGGGCGACAGAGTGAGACTCTGTCTCAAACAACAACAACAAAAGCATTATAATCTAAGTTCTTCCTCCCCTTGAAGCACACCCCGCTGCAGAGTGTTCATGAAGCACCTTCCTTTCTCTGCAGCTCCAGTGTTTACGCCACCTTTTACCTGAAATGACCAACTTGACGTGGCATCCCAATAACTACAAAGAAAACTAACTACAAAGAAAACACGCATGCCAAGTAGGGCTGGGGGCACCCCGTGAACTTCAGTAAAACACAAAGATCCCTTGAGAAGGGCCCCCCCAGACTGGGCACCTTTCCAGCCGGAGCCTCGGCCTCCTCCAAAGGTGGTGATGAAGCCACCCTGGCAGAGTTGCAGAGGGAGTCCCGTGAGTGCAGTGGGTGCAGAGAATGGAAGGCCACTGTCACTGTCACCTCTGACACAGCCAAGGGGGGACAGGGGCTGGTCTAGGTTGATGTCTGCCCACGGTCCCACACCGCCTCCTCCCAGTTTTCTTTCTAGAACTCAGTGCTTGGACCACCCTGTTTGGTGGAAGCCGAGTGTCGGGGCATGTCCGCCTGCCCCCAGCTCAGAGCACTGCCACTGCTTTGCTAGACAGGCCCATGCTGGAGAAGCACCAGGTAACGTGGCTCAGTGTCCTGACGGCTCGTGAGTCCACAGGAGCAGCAGCACAGGCCACATTCCCCACACGGACTCAGCCTCCAGGCCTGAGTTTGCTTCTCCCAGGACTCAGGCCCCACAGGCTTCCTCGGGAAGGGCCCGCACCAGGCCCTGCTCTTCCTGAGCCCACAGTGGACGATTGTTTTCACACCCCAACTCCTCGGAGTTGCAGCTCCTTCCTGGGTTGCCACAGATCCCAGCCACAACGCCTGGTCCTCCCAGCCTCTCACCAGCACCCACTTCAGATAGGGGAGCGGGGAACCAGAGACCAAGGCCTCCCAAGGATGGGGTCAGCTGGTGCCAGGATGAGGAGGGAGCAAGATGCTGGGCCTGGTGGCAGGTGTGGGCGTGATGCCTGGACAGCAGCCATGGCCGCGGATGGGGGTGCTGTGCTAGGTGGCTTTGGTTCTTGCCTGGCAAGGAACCGGTGGGGGACGGGGAGGTGGGCAGGGCACGGTTGCAGATGCCAGGAGAGCAGGGACCTGCAGCCATGCACGCATGCCACGATCTGGGAAGCGTTAGGGCAGGTGTGGGGCCTGGCACATGGTAGAGAACGGAGGGGAGGCGTTAAGGCAGGTGTGGGGCCTGGCACATGGTAGAGAACGGAGGGGAGGCGTTAAGGCAGGTGTGGGGCCTGGCACGTGGTAGAGAACGGAGCTTCGACTAGAAACATGGACATTTTCAGAGGTGGGGGTGTTGGAGGAAGGGTCACTGCCATGCTGTGAGCTGCGGCCCAGACGGAGGCCACTAGGGCTGGAGTGAGGCCCAGACGGGAGGAGAAGCAGTGGTGGCTGGTGCCTGTGCTGGTCACTTTGTAATGGGCTTTGTGTCTGGGGCTGTGTTCTGATAGCACAGGAGGCTGGCAGGAAGGGAAAAGCTTGCACCAAACTACACTTCCTATTGTAAGTTCTCAACTTTCCCGATGAAGGGTCTGTGGGAACCACACCCCACAGCACAGTTCCTCTGTGGGGTCCAGTGGGCATCGGCCAGGGAACAGCACCGTCTCCTCCCACAGCACAGCAGACATGCCTGGCACATGGCACTGCCCGGGGGACAGAAGCCCACTGCGCGGGGTGTGGGTTCCGACGTCAGCAGAGGGAGGCGTTTAGGATTTGAGCAGAGACATAAGTGTCAGTAGCTTCACTGTCCTTGCCCCCTGCACGCAGGCCTGGAGAGGGTGCCTGTGCCGACACCCCGCCTTTCCTCCCAGTTAGTTCCTGCCCCTTGGAGAACAGCCACACCACAGAAATCCATCTCCTGACCGTCTGTTATCAGCACTGCCGGCCATGGCAAAACCATCTGGTCACTGACTGTCTGGGCTTCCAGCAGGAGTGGGTGCTGCCAGATGTTTGTCATAAGCCCTGAACCCTTCTGAAAGGCGGCGTGGCTGCTGCGAGGGTCTGTCCCACGGCTGTTCCTTGTCTTGGCGGCCCTCGCCATCCCTGAGATGGAGCTGGCCATCTCTAATCACAGATTTCCAGAGTCAGTGGTTTGCTGCCTTTGATGGGTGTCCTCTGTTCTAAAAGATGAAAATATGGATGCTGGACTCCAGGTAGGAGAGGAAGCTGCAATCAGGGCAGGAAGACGGAAACAGAGAGGGTGGCCTCTGTACCTGGAGGTGGGCTGTAGGTTAGGTGGGAGCTTGTGGCTGGGGAGAGGATCAGATTTGATAAGACGAGGATGGGCTTTCGGGTGAAGAAGCCAGCTGGAAACAGGGAAGCAGAAGAGAGAGTGCGCGTTGACCCTGAGGCCAGCACAAAAGGGTGACAGCCACACCGCGCACCAGTCGCCCAGCTCGACCCCAGGGGAGCTCTGGCCTGGGCTGCCCAGGAAGGGAGACTGGACGAGGGCACGTGCTCGCCCAGAGCACAGCTGCAGACCCATCCTGAAGCCTGCCCCCTCTGGGGCTCTCAGAGGATGGGAAGCTGTGGCTGTGCCTTCCCTGGGATGCAAAGTCAGGTCATGTTCGGACAAGTCACCATGTTGTTGAGGCAGCACTTACGACGTTCCCCGCTACACCTGTGATGGCCAACCTGTCTTAGCCGCCCTGGCCACTCGGTGCCCCCACCCTGGAGAAAACCCAGCCGAGCCAGGCCAGAGCTGCAGACAGAGCAGGCAGGTGGGCTCTGAAGAGCCCCTCGTGAGTGCGTGTGGAGGAGCCTGGGGTTTGGGGTGCAGGAGCTCGTGGATCCTGCTCGGGAGCTTGCAGCCTGAAGACCAGAGCTTTTCTGAGCATATCTACCCTCAGGGGTCAAGAAATCGGAATGGGAGTCTCGCAAGGCCGGGCTGTCCAGGGCAACTGCAAGTCCCACTTGGCTGCAAAGTCCCATGTCTATGGAAGCATCTGCCCATAGCGAAAAGCGGAGATGTGTTCACGGTGGTCTCTGTCCTTCCCCCTTTCCATCCCTCCCTCCCTCCCTCCTCTCTCTTTAGAAGGCCTGTGTTAGATGTGTTTCCTCATCCCGTAGGAATGGTCCCCTCGGTCTTGGTGAACATGAAACAAAGGGTGCGGGCAGTTGGGATTCTGTGCGCGCGGCTCCATCAGCCTTGATTAAGTTCTCCAAGTGATGTCGGGCTTTCCACCGCGTGTCAGCGGTGCAGAGTAACCTCAATTAAACAGTCATTTGAGGGAGAGAGAAGGGAAAACGCCTTCCAAACAATGATCTCGTGTGTCTTAGCAACAGCCAAGCTTCACCTTCTCAAAGACCCTCCCACGCCGAGGACAGAGACACCTCCCGAGCGAGCGCACTCCGTGGGCGCTGGAGAGCAGGCACTCAGCCACTCCTGCGAGCTGCCGGCTTTCCCTGCACACGCTCAGCCTCTTGATGCCTGGGTGCTAAATTACATCTGACATTTAATTTAAATGCATGGTGCCTTCATTCAAAAATAAACCCGCTGCCACAGCCAGGGCGTTCGCCGCATGGATTTTTTTCTTTCCACCTGCTCTCCCTCGCTGACCCCATCCTCACTTTGTCCAGTGCGCGCAAACTGGAATTGAGCCTGTCTCTCTCCTCGGGATATTGCCTTGTGCCCCCCATCCACGAGCTTCCCTTCACATGTCAGCATGTCTCCAGTTGCAATTTATAACCGAGAAAGAAATCAATCCCTTGGTCCTGCGGCTGCAGGTCCCCCCAGCCTACTACTGGGCGTCGGGAGCCTCCTCGGCCCCACAGCTCACAGCAGCTCCCCGCCAGGATCTGGGAGGTTTTCCCAGAGTTGGGCAGGACGCTCACTGGTGAGGAGGCTCTTTAGAGCCCACGGTCGAGTAGCCCTTTCTAGAGAAGCTAAAGATGCGGCCAGAAGGTTCCACGGCCTAACAGCGAGCCCTGGCTCGTCCAGGAAGATCGGCCGATGGTGCCGAGCTGGCCCACCCCAGAATGCAGCTGCACCCTGCTCCAATGCCACGGTGTCTCTGGGAGGCAAACCCTGAGGAAGCCATCTCAGGCGGGCTTTACACCCTTCCTTCCAGCTGTTTCCGAACCCACTGAGGAGCTGAACGCTGCGGTACATTTAAGAATTTCTCTCTCAACAGCTCACTGGGTACTCGACACTGGAGCCGGAGGGAGAGGACAACTGAAAGCCTCAGGAGTTTGACATTTTGAACTTTTGCCAAAACCTGTTTCCAAAATAAACTGGAGACACTCCAAGAAATGCCAGATACAACTGCCATCCTCGGGCCAGCCTTCCTAGCTTGCAAGAACTGTTCACTCAGATATTGGCAGGGGGTCCCTGGGGCTGGGTCTCCAGCAGCTCCATGTTACCTGCCACTTCCTGCCTCTCATAGGTGCGGAGGAAGCAGCTCACCTGGGTGGCATCTTGCTGCTTCCCCAAGGAGCTGGCAGCAGGCTGGGACATTCCTGTGCAGTAGTAGGAGCTCATCCTCTACGCCTCACTCCCTACATCCGGCCAGCCTCATTGCCGTGGGGGAAGCCAAGACCCAGAGATTTGATTGTTTTGATCGTTTGGCCAAAACCACACAACAAGAAACAAGAGAAAGAACATTGGTAGGGCTGCTTCCAAAACTCATCCTTTTTTCTCTAAATCGAGCATTCTCTAAAAGATGATATAATAAAAATTATGAACAACAAGCAACCAACCAGTAAAATACACATTACGAAGAAGGATCAGGACCATGTGCTATGTTGCAGGCCTGAGTATGCATGCCAAGCAGAAGGGCCACAAGCAAAAGAGCCCTCAGAATCCCCTGGGGAGCCCACAGCACAGAGAAGCAGGCCTCAGAGTCACCCGAACAGTCTACAGCTCAGGGACACAGGCCTCAGAATCACGTGAACAGCCCACAGCTCAGGGACGCAGGCCTCAGAATCACCCGGGCAGTTCACAGCTCAGGGACGCACGCCTCAGAATCACGCGGACACCCCACAGCTCAGGGACGCAGGCCTCAGAATCACCTCAACAGCCCACAGCTCAGGGACGCAGGCCTCAGAATCACCTCAACAGCCCACAGCTCAGGGACGCAGGCCTCAGAATCACCCAGACACCCCAGAGCTCAGGGACACAGGCCACAGAATCACCTCAACAGCCTGTAGCTCAGGGACGCAGGCCTCAGAATCACCTCAACAGCCCACAGCTCAGGGACGCAGGCCTCAGAATCACCCAGACACCCCACAGCTCAGGGACACAGGCCACAGAATCACCTCAACAGCCTGTAGCTCAGGGACGCAGGCCTCAGAATCACCCGGACACCCCACAGCTCAGAGACGCAGGCCTCAGAATCACCCAGACACCCCACAGCTCAGGGACACAGGCCACAGAATCACCTCAACAGCCTGTAGCTCAGGGACGCAGGCCTCAGAATCACCCGGACACCCCACAGCTCAGGGACGCAGGCCTCAGAATCACCCGGACACCCCACAGCTCAGAGACGCAGGCCTCAGAATCACCCGGACACCCCACAGCTCAGAGACGCAGGCCTCAGAATCACCCGGACACCCCACAGCTCAGGGACACAGGCCACAGAATCACCTCAACAGCCTGTAGCTCAGGGACGCAGGCCTCAGAATCACCCGGACAGCCCACCGCTCAGGGACACAGGCCGCAGAATCACCCGCACACCCCGCACCTCAGGGACGCAGGCCTCAGAATCACCCGGGCAGTTCACAGCTCAGGGACGCACGCCTCAGAATCACGCGGACACCCCACAGCTCAGGGACGCAGGCCTCAGAATCACCTCAACAGCCCACAGCTCAGGGACGCAGGCCTCAGAATCACCTCAACAGCCCACAGCTGAGAGACGCAGGCCTCAGAATCACCCGGACAGCCCAGAGCTCAGGGACACAGGCATCAGAATCACCCGGACACCCCACAGCTCAGAGACGCAGGCCTCAGAATCACCTCAACAGCCCACAGCTCAGGGACACAGGCCTCAGAATCACCTCAACAGCCCACAGCTCAGGGACGCAGGCCTCAGAATCACCTCAACAGCCCACAGCTCAGGGACGCAGGCCTCAGAATCACCTCAACAGCCCACAGCTCAGGGACGCAGGCCTCAGAATCACCTCAACAGCCCACAGCTCAGGGACGCAGGCCTCAGAATCACCCAGACAACCCGCAGCTCAGGGACGCAGGCCTCAGAATCACCCAGACACCCCGCAGCTCAGGGACACAGGCCTCAGAATCACCCGGACACCCCAGAGCTCAGGGACGCAGGCCTCAGAATCACCTCAACAGCCCACAGCTCATAGACGCAGGCCTCACAATCACCTGAACAGCCCACAGCTCAGGGACGCAGGCATCAGAATCACGTCAACAGCCCGCGGCTCAGAGATGCAGACCTCAGAATCACCCAGACACCCCAGAGCTCAGGGATTCAGGCCTCAGAATCACCTGAACAGACCAGAGCTCAGGGACGCAGGCCTCAGAATCACCCGGACACCCCCCAGCTCAGAGACGCAGGCCTCAGAATCACCTCAACAGCCCACAGCTCAGGGACACAGGCCTCAGAATCACCCATACACCCCGCAGCTCAGGGACGCAGGCCTCAGAATCACCTCAACTGCATGCAGCTCAGGGACGCAGGCCTCAGAATCACCCAGACACCCCACAGCTCAGGGACACAGGCCTCAGAATTACCGAGAAACCCCGCAGCTCAGGGACGCAGGCCTCAAAATCACCCAGGCAGCTCACAGCTCAGGGACGCAGGCCTCAGAATTGCCCGGACACCCCACAGCTCAGGGACGCAGGCCTCAGAATCACCCGGGCAGCTCCTACCTCAGGGACGCAGGCCTCAGAATTACCTCAACAGCTCACAGCTCAGGGACGCAGGCCTCAGAATCTCCCAGACACCCTACAGCTCAGAGACGCAGGGGTCAGAATCACCCAGACACCAGACAGCTCAGGGACGCAGGCCTCAGAATCACCTCAACAGCCTGCAGCTCAGGGACACAGGCCTCACAATCGCCCGGACACCCCACACCTCAGGGACGCAGGCCTCAGAATCACCTCAACAGCCCACAGCTGAGAGACGCAGGCCTCAGAATCACCCGGACAGCCCAGAGCTCAGGGACGCAGGCCTCAGAATCACCTCAACAGCCCACAGCTCAGGGACGCAGGCCTCAGAATCACCCGGACACCCCACAGCTCAGAGACGCAGGCCTCAGAATCACCCGGACACCCCACAGCTCAGAGACGCAGGCCTCAGAATCACCCGGACACCCCACAGCTCAGAGACGCAGGCCTCAAAATCACCCGGACACCCCACAGCTCAGAGACGCAGGCCTCAGAATCACCCGGACACCCCACAGCTCAGAGACGCAGGCCTCAGAATCACCCGGACACCCCACAGCTCAGAGACGCAGGCCTCAGAATCACCCGGACACCCCACAGCTCAGGGACACAGGCCTCATAATCACCCAGACACTCCAGAGCTCAGGGACACAGGCCTCAGAATCACCTCAACAGCCCACAGCTCAGGGACGCAGGCCTCAGAATCACCCGCACACCCCACAGCTCAGGGACGCAGGCCTCAGAATCACCTCAACAGCCCACAGCTCAGGGACGCAGGCCTCAGAATCACCCGCACACCCCACAGCTCAGAGACGCAGGCCTCAGAATCACCCGGACACCCCACAGCTCAGAGACGCAGGCCTCAGAATCACCCAGACACCCCAGAGCTCAGGGACACAGGCCTCAGAATCACCTCAACAGCCCACAGCTCATAGACGCAGGCCTCACAATCACCTGAACAGCCCACAGCTCAGGGACACAGGCATCAGAATCACGTCAACAGCCCGCGGCTCAGGGACGCAGACCTCAGAATCACCCAGACACCCTAGAGCTCAGGGATTCAGGCCTCAGAATCACCTGAACAGACCAGAGCTCAGGGACACAGGCCTCAGAATCACCCGGACACCCCACAGCTCAGAGACGCAGGCCTCAGAATCACCTCAACAGCCCACAGCTCAGGGACGCAGGCCTCAGAATCACCCGGACACCCCCCAGCTCAGAGACGCAGACCTAAGAATCACCCAGACACTCCGCAGCTCAGGGACACAGGCCTCAGAATCACCCGGACACCCCACAGCTCAGAGACGCAGGCCTCAGAATCACCTCAACAGCCCACAGCTCAGAGACGCAGGCCTCAGAATCACCCGGACACCCCGCAGCTCAGGGACGCAGGCCTCAGAATCACCTCAACAGCCCACAGCTCAGAGACGCAGGCCTCAGAATCACCCATACACCCCGCAGCTCAGGGACGCAGGCCTCAGAATCAGCCAGGCACCCCACAGCTCAGGGACGCAGGCGTCAGAATCACCAAGACACCCCACAGCTCAGGGACACAGGCCTCAGAATCACCTCAACAGCCCACAGCTCAGGGACGCAGGCCTCAGAATCACCCGGGTAGCTCAAAGCTCAGGGACGCAGGCGTCAGAATCACCCGGACACCCCACAGCTCAGGGACACAGGCCTCAGAATCACCTCAACAGCCCACAGCTCAGGGACGCAGGCCTCAGAATCACCCGGGTAGCTCAAAGCTCAGGGACGCAGGCCTCAGAATCACCCGGACACCCCACAGCTCAGGGACGCAGGCTTCAGAATCACCTCAACAGCCCACAGCTCAGGGACGCAGGCCTCAGAATCACCCGGACACCCCGCAGCTCAGGGACGCAGGCCTCAGAATCACCTCAATAGCCCACAGCTCAGGGACACAGGCCTCAGAATCGCCTCAACAGCCCACAGCTCAGAGATGCAGGCCTCAGAGTCACCTCAACAGCCCACAGCTGAGAGACGCAGGCCTCAGAATCACCCGGACAGCCCACAGCTCAGAGACGCAGGCCTCAGAATCGCCCGGACACCCCACAGCTCAGGGACGCAGGCCTCAGAATCGCCTCAACAGCCCACAGCTCAGAGATGCAGGCCTCAGAGTCACCTCAACAGCCCACAGCTGAGAGACGCAGGCCTCAGAATCACCCGGACAGCCCAGAGCTCAGGGACGCAGGCCTCAGAATCGCCTCAACAGCCCACAGCTCAGGGACGCAGGCCTCAGAATCGCCTCAACAGCCCACAGCTCAGAGATGCAGGCCTCAGAGTCACCTCAACAGCCCACAGCTGAGAGACGCAGGCCTCAGAATCACCCGGACAGCCCAGAGCTCAGGGACGCAGGCCTCAGAATCGCCTCAACAGCCCACAGCTCAGAGATGCAGGCCTCAGAGTCACCTCAACAGCCCACAGCTGAGAGACGCAGGCCTCAGAATCACCCGGACAGCCCAGAGCTCAGGGACGCAGGCCTCAGAATCACCTCAACAGCCCACAGCTCAGGGACACAGGCCTCAGAATCACCTCAACTGCCCGCAGCTCAGGGATGCAGGCCTCAACACATGCGGATTCCCACACTGCCTCACCATCCCCCTCAACTGCTCAGCAGACCAGGCAGCTGAACGGAAGAGATCTGCCTTTAATGGGCATCTTCTGCTCTAAAAACTGCTGAGGACTGTGGGTGCAGGGCAGTCCCGTGATCTCCATACTCAGGGCCCCGTGAAGACTGTGGGGTGTATAGAGGCCCGTGATCTCTATGCTGTTGGCACCGTGAGGACTGTGGGGTGTATGGAGGCCCGTGATCTCCACGCCCTTGGCCCCGTGAGGACTGTGGGGTGTAGGGAGTCCCGTGATCACACTCAGGGCCCCGTGTGGACTGTGGGGTGCAGGGAGTCCCGTGATCTCCTTGCTCAGGGCCCCGTGAGTACTGTAGGGTGTAGGGAGTCCCGTGATCTCCACACTCAGGGCTCCGTGTGGACTGTGGGGTGCGGGGAGTCCCGTGATCTCCTTGCTCAGGGCCCCGTGAGGACTGTGGGTTGTAGGGAATCCCATGATCTCCTTGCTCAGGGCCCCGTGAGGACTGTAGGGTCTAGGGGAGGCCCATGATCTCCATGCTCTTGGCCCCATGTGGACTGTGGAGTGTAGGGAGGCCCATGATCTCCATGCTCAGGGTCCCATGAGGACTGTGGGGTCTAGGGGAGGCCCGTGATCTTCATGCTCAGGGTCCCATGAGGACTGTGGGGTGTAGGGAGGCCCATGATCTCCATGCTCTTGGCCCTGTGAGGAC
The DNA here is from genome assembly GCF_000001405.40 of Homo sapiens. Classification (NCBI taxonomy): domain Eukaryota; kingdom Metazoa; phylum Chordata; class Mammalia; order Primates; family Hominidae; genus Homo; species Homo sapiens. The sequence continues at coordinate 50,553 of NT_187563.1, read as the reverse complement.
TGTGGGGTGTAGGGAGGACTGTGGGGTGTAGGGAGTCCTGTGATCTCCACACTCAGGGCCCTGTGAGGACTGTGGGGTGCAGGGGAGGCCTGTGATCTCCACACTCAAGGCCCTGTATGGACTATGGTGTGTAGGGAGTCCTGTGATCTCCATGTTTGTGGCGTGCGTGCTGAGTGCATCCTGCAGCCGGAGAAGGAGCTTTGTGATGGTCAAATCAGGGCGTGCGTCAAACATGTTAGGTTTCATTTACCGACTGCCTGGAAATGGGTAGGAACCAGATCGTTGGGTGGTCTTTGCTGCTGTATCAGCTTCCTCTTGGGTGAGCGTTTTGCTTTATCCACACGGTTCTGGAGCCTACAAAAGATGCTGACATTTGAGAGCAAAGCAGCGGCCTCCAGCCTGCCCTGCAGATGCTGGCACCCTCACTCAGCCTCTGCCCAGTGTCCCAGACGTTTTGGGGAGATAAATATCAGGACTGAGGTGCAAATGGAGGGGAGAAGAGAGGTGAGCATTGTCGGAGGAGCCCAGCATTGTGCAGCCTGCCCTCTCCCCCAGCCTGCCTCCCTGAGCCTGCCCTGTCCCTGAGCCTGCCTCCCGCAGCCTGTCCTCTCCCCCAACCTGCCTCCCGCAGCCTGTCCTCTCCCCCAACCTGCCTCCCGCAGCCTGTCCTCTCCCCCATGCCTGCCTCCCGCAGACCACCCCCGGCTCTCAGCCTTGCGTTCGTCTGGAGCAATGTTTACAGTGAGAGGGTGGACGAGTCCGTGCAGAAGCTTCTCATCCAGCAGATCACTGGCTGGATCTGTGATGACCTGGGCTGAGACATACACAGAAGGACCTGGGCAGGGCCCCAGGAGCTCTAGGGTCTGCCCAGGGGCCACCGTTGCTGACTGTACGAGCTCCACCTCTTTCATCCTCATTTCTTCCCCTGAGAAATGCTGGGGTGGCCACTCCTGGAGCTGTCTCGGTCTCTAAATCTTAGCTCCGTGCAAGGGGAGCATCGTGACCCAACCCAGATGCGGTGGCATAGGGACTCAGAGGCGCCTCTCAGACACCCGTAGTCCTCGTAAGGAAGGTGCCGCCTGGAAGGGGACCCACATTTCATGGAGGCAGAAGTGAGGGGTGGTGGGGAGTGAGGTGACACGCCTCAGGGCCCCTCAGAGATGCCGGGGGACTGGGGTGCGGCTGAAGTGAACACCCAGGGGCTGAGGGAAGCCCCGAGTCGTTTGGTAAGAGGCCTTTGAACCCATTCTGTTGCTTTTTCATCAGCCTGGATGTGCCTGAGTGATGAGGACAGTGGGGATCTGTGGCTTCCCCTCCGCCTCACTCAGTGTCCACCAGGCAGACAGACCTGTCCTTGGGGGCCCTTCCACATCCTCCGTCTTCTGCACACGTTCTGATGGTACTGAAGTGCCTCACACATTTAAACATGAAAACAGCAGACTCTTACTACTTTCTAAAATTCAAAAGCAGACCCAATCTCATATCTTAAATTGAGGTTCTAGATGGCTACTATATTATACCTCTATTTGTGTTTTAAACCAAGAATTATTTTAAATTTTTTAATATTAAAATGGAATTCTGAGCATGCTCACCAGAGCCATTTATTCTTCCCAGAGCAGATTCCATCGTTGTGTAATGGACGGCACATCACGGCCCGATGCTGGGATGGGAGGCTTGGGTCTGTTGAACGGGCGCCAGGTCGGGTCCCCAGTTCCTATCACCTTAGGTGACGTTCCAGCCTCTTCCACTTGTTTGAGTTTCAGGCTCCTTGAATCTCCTTCGATGTCTGGGAGAGCTGCTGTGTTCACCCCGTTGAGGCCAGCTGACCCCCAGCCCACCCCAGCATCACGGCTTCTGTGCCCTCCATGCCTGGACCACCTCGCGCCCGCTTGTTTACGCTCTGATTCCTCCATGGTCTTGCTGTACCCAGTAACCTAGCACGTAGTAGCACCTCAGGAAACATGTGTTGAATTAGGACTTCCCATAAAAACAGAAAGCATGAAGGGGATCCAGATGGTGTCAAGCATTAGCTCTTCTAAGCTGCGTCAGAGTCGTGCCCCGGAGCACGTCTCCTGCAGCAGCATCGCCCCGTCACGGCACCGCCTCACAGCTCCCACCACGACACATGCAACGTGCAAAGAGGACACAGGGAGCTGCGACTTCCGTGGCTGGTGGCAAAGAAATGGGGCAGCACTTTCACAGCCATGCCAGGAACCTAATTCAGCCAACCTGGAAATAACTATCCCAGCCACGGCCTTGCCAGAAGCCCAGCTCAGCCAACCTGGAGATTGTTATCCCAGCCACAGCCTTGCCGAGAGCCCAACTCAGCCAACCCAGAGATAGCTATCCCAGCCACGGACTTGCCAGAAGCCCAGCTCAGCCAACCTGGAGATCGTTACCCCAGCCATGGCCTTGCCAGGAACCTAACTCAGCCAACCCGGAGATAGCTATCCCAGCCATGGCTTGCCAGGAGCCCAACTCAGCCAACCTGGAGATAGCTATCCCAGCCATGGCTTGCCAGGAGCCCAACTCAGCCAACCTGGAAATTGTTATCCCAGCCACAAGTGTGGGTCCCACTTAAATGGAGGAAGGATGAGTCACAAAAGCAGGGTAATGTGGCCTATCCCGTGCCTGTATCGCTGGCAGGTGGGAAGCCTAATTCTTAGGCCCTAAGCATAGCCCGCCGCACCGATTGCAGGCTGGTCCCACCGTGAGCAGACAGCACTCCTGGCTCCACTCCACAGCTTAGCCAGGAGGATTCAGGCAGGTCCAAGCCCATTACCAGACCTCGCTGTGGAAGGCGGCTGACATTCGAACCCACTGGATGGGCATCTAAGTCTCTGACCTTTGCTGATGGTCGGTTCCCAGAGCTGCCTCCCCTGCCCTCACCCCAAGAGACCTCCTGACCTGTGAGTATCTCTAGAACTCTCCAGAAGTCAGATGCAGGGAGCTGCCCAGGCTCAGTGAGTGGTCCGTTCATTACAAGGTTCTCTCCACCACAGATAACACAAGCACAGCCTGGCTCAGTGAGTGGTCCATTCATTACAAGGTTCTCTTCACCACAGATAACACAAGCACAGCCTTAGCACAGAGCATTGGGTTGGATCATGCATCACGTTCATGCAATACCGAAGCATTTTCAAGACAGATTAAACTGAGTAGTGGGATGGTCCTCTTCCTTGGCTACTTATGAGTATTTAATATCAATACTTTGGAATTACAAGCAAAAGGTATTAAGAAGAAGAAACTAAGCTCCAAGTTGGTATCATCTCACTGAGACTGTGTCTTTCTGCCCAATGTGTCAAGCTCATGAATAAAAGATCAAGAGGACAGTTAAGGGGTTATGTGAGGAGTTCAAAGCTCAAACAAAGAACAGCAACAGACAGCAGACACACATCTTGAGATGGAGTTGGTGCTGCTCAGGCGAACAGTCCCCCACCCTAGATTCTGGGTGTGCTTGGAGCTTCTCACCCTCGTGGGGTACACGCATCTGCAGATGGCTTCACCTCCAAAATGCTGCCCTGCCATCCACATTCATCGTTTACTCCAGCAATCAGCAAACCTAGATACCCACTTCTGGAAAAAAAAAAAAAAACAGAAGTCAGCTCATCAAGTAGTCTCTCTGTACCTCTAAAACTGTTCAATGAATAAATACCCTCACAATCTCAAAGGAATATTTTCTGTCCTACTTGTATCCAAGTAACTGAATTTACTTCCTTCTTCCTTTTCAAAAATCTCTGGAGACTGCCCCGTCTAAATACAGTTAAGTAGCTGGTTACCCCAGTCACCTGTTTAAAAACATCTGGAGACTGCCCATCTAAATACAGGTAAATAACGCGTTACCCCAGTCACCTGTTCTCCATCTACATATGCAAAAGCCCTCGATAACTTTGGCCCTTTTGATGCTCAAATCAGTGACCACATTCACATGAGTTACAGGTGATTGGAAAAAGCCTAGTTGTAAGCATTGAGCACAGTCAGTCACCGTAGAGAGATACATCTAGAAGGGAATCGTGCTGGATTATTTAGGTGTTTGTCAACACAGGGCCAGACCATCCACACAGAAAGAGCGCTGGTCAGATTGTTGGTCCCTGCCACACCCGACTGCACACATTCATTTATTGGTTCGTCGTTGACACAACTTCTGCAATCTGATGGAGAATGCAAAGATGAACCAGACATAGAGCTGGCCCTCAAGGACCCCAAGTCTAAGAGGAAAGATGAGCAGAGAAGTAACTGAGCTAGGAGTTAAAAATGCCGGGGACATGAAGAGCAAAGCTGAGAGAGGACAGAAGCCCAGGAGATGCCAGGTGCAGTGTCCACAACATCCTTCTTCCCAAGGGCCACAGAGACTATGGTTTGGCCAAACAGTTGTCCCCTTCTTCCCTCATAGCTTAGAGGACTCCACGTACAACCAGTAAAACTGACCTCCCAGAGGGAGGAGAGCCACTGAATCGTGCATGGGTCATGTGGACGGGTCTTGCTTCTTCCTGCAAATGTCCAGAGAGAGGTGAGGAAGAGAGCGTCTCCGGGGAGGGTTCCAGGAGGGACTGATTCTTGAAGTGGTTTTGATGGAGGAGAAGCATCCTAGACAAGATGAACAGCGTTAGCAAACACACGGGGAAGGGATGATGGGGCTCTAGGTGCCGAAGAGCCTTCAGTGGGGGACTAAGAGCAGGCCGGGCACCCATGGGAGGGAGGTCCACAGGCAATGCCTTCCTTCACCAATTCTCAGTCTTGGGCTTGTTGGCCGGAAACAGCCAGCAGTAGTAAGACACACCTTTCATTTTACTTACTAAAGATATGTTGCAATCAGTAGTCATTATCAATTGATAATTGATTGGCAAGTCATTTTAAAAAGTGAGGAAATCAAGTCCCAGGAAAGGTGCTGGAGCCAGGCTCTTTTCCATAGGGCTGGTGGACAGGGCCTTTGCCGTCATGGAGCCTGTGGAAGGAGGCGTGGGGTGGCTCCGACTGTGAGTTAGAAGCACCTTTGGCCTCCAAATCACATGAGCATCATCTCCCCCCTTCCCTTGTTGCTCGTTTCAGTAGCATCTGAAATGGAGAGTTTATTTGATTATTTTTTCCTCTCTGACAAAGTAAATAGGGTTTTAACCTGTGGTACAGAGGGAACAAAGTGGCCCATGGGTTTTCCAATAATATTTTGGCCCTTGCTCAGGCTAATGGGAACTTTCAAAAAGGCGGGGAGAGAGAGCGGCTCTAATTATAATCTGAAGAACGAATCTGCTTACAAATCCATCAGAACTTGATTCCTGGGATCCCGTGGGCCAGGGGCACTGAGGTGATTCCGAGGCTTGCTGGAAAGAAGCCAGTGCCCATCGGGATGGGATTCTCCACCCTCTCATTAGCTCGTGGATTGTTTAAAAGAAAAAGCATTGATTAGGAGCCTCTGAGAAGCTCCCGCCACTCCTTGGAGCCCTCTCTGGGGAAAGACGACAATATTTCAGTTGCTCTGTGTGTTTCCCCTGCCCTGGGCACTACCCACCCCCAACCCAGGTGATGGCCATGGCAGCATGAAGTCACCCCGTGGACAGAGGGAGACAGGGTTCCGGAGCTGGTCAGGCTCCCGCGTTGCCGTGGACGGAGGGAGACGGGGTTCCGGAGCTGGTGAGGCTCCCCCTGCCTTGCCGTGGATGGAGGGAGACGATGTTCCGGAGCTGGTCAGGCTCCCGCGTTGCCGTGGACGGAGGGAGACGATGTTCCGGAGCTGAAGCCGAAGCAATTTGACCTTGCTGGTTCTCTGGTGGCTTTTCTGAGTCTGGGTCATTGATAGGTTAGTGTTCTGTGCCCTACAGGAACCTGATCCACCAAGGAAAGTGTTAAATTTAACAATGTATACATAATAACAAATCTGCATCTGGGCAATGGCATTAAGGTAGCTCACCATATACAAAGCAAAGTGGGTGTATGTGTACAACACGGTTAAATAAAGTGATAAAAGGCATATGGAGGAAGGGGTCCTGCTGGCCGAATCAGCAATAAAAAAGCACAATATAATGTACAGTTAAACCCATGTAGATATAAAAAAATTAATGAAAAGATCCAGCTGTGCTAAAAGTGGAAACTCCATACAGTCCCAGTGATTCCGCTCTCCCTGAACCCTGGCTGGCTCTGGCTTCTGGAAGAGGAAGAGGTCAGAGGAAAGCTGCTCTGTCTTGCTGGGGAGCCATGCGTGAGCACGCAGAGGGGGTGGAATGAGCGGCCCAGGAGCTCAGGCCTCCTTGCGGTCACCTTGGGAGGTGTCCTGTTCTCTGCCGTCAGAACCAAAGCACATCCATCTTGGAGTGTCCCAAAAACACAGTATGGTGACCCCAGGGCTGATCTGTGTGCAAGATGACTGAAATTAGCATCTGCCATAATTTGGTATTTGATTCCATAACAACCTTGTCTGGTCACACCTGGGGAGAAAGAGCTCTCCAAGAGTCCCAGATGGCAGTTGGCATTGAGTTGACCTCGGGGCAGCTGAAGGCACAGGTGTCACTCTGCCTGTATGGTGACCGTCAGAACTCAGGACGGCTCTTCTCACAACACTCCAAGATACTACCCTCAATTTCTTGCTGGCACTTTAACATTTTTTACAGGAGACCATCTTTTCCTCCCCTCATAGACGAATAAGCTACAACGCAGGTGCCCCTGGGCCGCAAACCCATCTCCAAAGGCTGCGAGACTCTGGAGGCAGATGCCGGGGTGAGAGAGTAGTCAGGAAGAAGAGGCATTTTACCAGTTTCCCTCGGCTGTCCCAGCCAACATCACATCTGCTGCTGCTTATATTTGTGTCCAGCTGCTGTTATGTGGGTAATTCAGGGGCAATTCAGAGGCATGAAGTTTCAGACGAGACTGAGAGCCATGGAGTTTGCTTTAATCTCCGGAACATGGAGGATTAACCGTGTGACCTTGGGTGAGTCCCCCCCGGCTGTGGCTCTTCATGTCTGCAGTGGGTTTTAGAGAAAGGCCTGTCTCCCTATGTCACAGAGATTTGGGAACAAGAAATGAAAACTGATGCAGAAACCACTCAAAGCTCCTTGGAATAAAGATACTATCTGAATTGCAGGAGCCTATGAAGAAAACCCCTAATGCGAAGTTAAATCTTAAAATCAAATCCTTCCAGGTGCTCTGTCTCCTGGGCTGCACCCCTCTCTCCTGACTCTTTTCCATCTTCCTCCAAACCAAAGTCGCTGGGGATGTGTGGGTGGCTGGTGGGACAGCCCTAATTTGACCTGTGAGCATCCTAAGGACATGATGCCCCTACCCCTTCATGGAACTAGAAATAATACATACAAAACCCTAAAACACGTGTCCAGAAACAGCACGGAGCTCTGAAATAATACATACAAAACCCTAAAACAAGCACGTATCCAGAAACAACAGCACAGAGCTCTGATTTCTCCTGTGATGAGCCGTGATGACGACTTCAATGCCTAAAATGTCAAATATCGAGTGATTTTATTCAAAATGAAAAAACATGGATTTTGTCCTAAGCGTCAGCTCAGTCTGCATGTGAGTGACCAGCCGCTGGCTGCACCACAAACAACCCGGGACCAGCACCGGCAGCCTGCGTCCCTCCCACCCACCTCTCGGATAAGGCTCCCATCAGAGAGGAGCCTCCAGAGGCTGAGAAACTTCACAGGATGCCAAATGCTTCCATGAGTCCCTGGTCTTGACCCTGCCCTCCTCCCTTCGCTCCTCTGCTGATGAACTTCACGCCAGTATCAGGCTCTCAATCCCGCTCCCCAGCACCTCCCTCCCCTCTGGGGCGCCTCCTTCCCGGTGGTGGGAGAGATGTCGAATTCAGACGCCAGGAATGTTGAAATGTCAGCCTTCCCAGAGCACACAGATACGTCCCCCTGGGTCACGTGGAGCTTATTGTGTACGGCCACATTCCTGTTGATTCTCAGCTGCCTGTGAGATCCTTATTCTAATAGATGTTTCAAAAGAAGTATAATACCGAGAGGCCTTAATAGTGTTTAAAAGTGAAACTTTCATGACAAGATATAATTTCAAAATAACAGCTCTCCACAGGAACAGTGAGGCCCTTTGGGGCACCAGGAGATGGATGAGAAGAGAGGAGGGGTGAGTGGCAGAGCCCTCTCTTCTGACCCAGGCATTCCCGGGAGCCTCTGTCCCTGCTGCTGCAGGTCTGGCCAAGGCAGCAAGAGCCCCTCGGAGCCTCCTCCCCCGCCCAGACACCAGGTCCTCCCCGCATCGGGGGTGGTATTTGCAGATTAACGCACAGCATCCTAATTCCTAGTCAGGCTCTTCCAGACCTTCTAAGCCGGCCTTGTGGCCTTGGTGGCTGGCGCCCCAGCCGGCACCCACGATGCTGTAAATGCTCCCGAGGACCAGGGCCCTTCCTCTGTGGAGGGGCTGCCACGCCCAGGCCCCATTCTGGGGAAAGCAAACCCCTCCCTGTAGGGGAACACTCTGGAGCTCAACTCAGGACCGTGAGTACGAATGGGAGCGCCTGGGCCCAGAGAAGCCAGGCCAGGGGATGGGAACTTGCTGCTGCGTCCTCGCCTCAGGGGATAACCAGGGAAGCTCAGCCCTCCTGCCTGCGCCCCCTGCCCGGGCACAACGCTTAGCTTCCACTGGAGGTGAGGCTGCCCGGCCAGAGAGCACCATGCTCCTGCATGTAGGGCTCACTCACAGCACACGTGCCCTCCAAGCCCAGCGCACTCAGACTCCCAGATCAGGTTGAGGTCGTGCTGAGGCTCAGCGAACAGAGCCTCCAAACCACGGACACAGGAACACTGCTGGGGGCCGCGTCCACACAGGCCCCAGTCTGGGGCGAGCTTGGGCTTCTCAGCCCTCAGACAGGAGAGTGAGCTCGCCAGGCCGTCTGGTGAAGGAAGACGCATGAAGATAAAATCGGGGAGCAACGTGGCGTGTGTACCGAAGCTTCATGAAATACATGTCAAATTAACTTTTTAAATGAATGTGTGAAATAAATACAGCTGCAACCAGGACGTAGTTCACTTCTGTTTATCCAAGACGCCTGGTGTGATTTCTTGCTGGGGTTTCTTCTTACTGAGAAGATGCATTGCCCCCGGGAGACTCGGGAAGCCTCTGCAAAGGGCACCTGAAGCAGGAGCACATTTACTCTACCCTTTAAAAATGTCATCCCCATCCCACCAGGACGGAGAGGAGCTTTTCATTTGTAGAGGGAAACTGTTACCCCTTGGCTCCAAAACCAATATGTGTCCAGCCGGGCACTGGTGGGATTGTACCTCCTCTGATTTTTTCACTCAACATGGAGGGACCTGCATGTAAGATGTAGGTGAGCGCCGTCCACGAAAGAGCAGGAGACACGAGACTCCGTGGCCAGGGGCGGACACCAAGCCTCCCACACTAAGACAAGCACTGGCCATGCTCCCCAAGCCGTCTGCGTGCATCTGTGTGTAAGTCATCACGGGTGGCCGTGCCCAGGACCACAGACTGGGTGCATTAAACTGCAGGACACGTCTGTTCTCACAGCTCTGACAGTCCCAGACCAAGCTGTGGGGGGCGGCGGGGGTGGGGGCGGTTCTTCCTGTGACCTCTCTCCCGGGCTTGTGGACAGCATCTTCTCCCCATGTCCTCACACGGCCTTTCCCTGGTGCAGGCACGGGGTGTCTCTCACTCTTCTTGTAAGGACACCAGTCCTGTAGGATCGGGGCCGCCCTTTTGGCCTCATTGAACCTTAATTAGCTCCTTGGAGGTCCTGTCTCCAAATATAGGCACATGGGGATCAGAGCTTCAATGGATGGATTTGGGGGGTCACAATTCAGCCTATAACAACCTCTAAAACTGCAAGGCCAGAGTTAAACCCTGAATCTCGCCCAGATTTAAGCCTGGAACACAGAGGCCTTCTGGCTAAGAGCAGCCTCCTTTGAATGGTGGTGGGAAAGGGAAGGTTCTCGGGCTGGTGTGATCGGGTGATGTATCCCCAGCCAGAGATGCTTGGGGCTACCAGTGGTGAAGCTAGGGCAGCGGGTGCCGGCCTCGCCCAGGCAGGACCAGGACACATGCTCTGCTCCAGGGCATGAGATCCAAGGTGGGTGTTTGGGAACGGGGCCCACCCACCGGCCGTCTCTGACCCTTCTTTGAAGCCTGTCTGTCACGTCACCTTCAGCTCAGAAAGGGCCTGGAGAATCTTGGGGCAGCTTCTCTTCCAGGTGGCTTGAGGCATGTGCCGATCGCTATCAACACACCGGGAATTCAGAGCCCACCCAGCCTCACGGGGGCCTCCTTTCCCGAGAAGGTACTCAGCCACTGCCTGCCAGGAGGACGGGGACCAAAGGCGCCCACCTGCTCCCCACATTTGCGGAGCGTCTCCCACAAACAACACTGAGAGTGTCACTAAAGAAAGCGCCTGCCCCGAGGAGTTTAGAATCCAGCCAAGGAGGCGAGTCATGTTCTGTCATTTAATGTGTTTTGATGCCATTCAACCCCTTCATATTTTTAACAATATGTTAAGTAGACTTCCATTTATTTTAGCCCCAGCTGCCTTTTGAGAAAGCTCAATTACTTTTGAACAACCTAATCATTTCCAAAGGGCAGCTTCAAACCCTCATTTTCTAAAGCAGCTCAGCAGCCCTCCACCTTCCTGGGCCGCTGCACACAGTTGAGTGTGGACGCAGATAAGATGCAGGTCACCAGCAAAGTCAGATGCACTCCTGGCCGCTCTCTGATGACTTGGAGCTCAGGATGGACACCATACAGTCAGAGATGGCTGCACCCAGCTGGGTCCACAGGCATAGTCAGTGGGACTGCTTTACCAAAGGGACTCATCAGGTTAGTCCAAAAACAATACATTCGATGGATCTTCCCACCAAATTCACGCAAGAGTTGCTTGAGTGTCTGTTGGGTCAAAATGGCCAATGTGGCTGTGCACATGAACACGGAGCTTCGCCGGCCGAACCACGGGAGCAACACAGGACTGTGGCCACAGGAGCCGTGTTCAGCTGAGCACACGGCGCTCCCCAGCAGGTCTGGGAGACAGGTCCACCAGGCCAGGTGCTCTCGGTGCCAGCGGCACCACTAACCGTCCTGCTGCAGTTGGCATCACAGCCAGAATTTGTTTGGGGAGATGGGACTCCTGCATCGAGGCAGTTAGCGGCTGCTATTTAATAATCTCAGATGTGTGTGCGCGTTTCCTCCATAGCAACTTGCCTCCCACGTCGACATCAATATTGGAAAACGCAGGCACATGGCCGAGCGCCAGGTCCTGGTGTGGGTTTGCCTCTGGCTGGCTGCCCTGCTGGTCCCGGGTTCATCCATGACACGGGTGGGACTGAATGTGGGATCCCCAGGACCCTTACAGTTCCAGGTTATTGTAACAGTTTTGTGTTATCATTTCGAAGCCAAATGAGAATGGCTTGACCCCAGATGTAAGTACAGCCTTGTAACGCTTCAGTAAGATGGGAGCAGAGTTAAGAATAGAGACTGTTTATTTGGGGCGTCTCGGCTGAATCACCATTTAGTCACTGGGATGTTGCTAAAATATTTGTACATCTCTGGGGCTGGAAGATGTTGAAATTGTTTCTTTGCCTGCCTTTTTCCATCCATTACAAACCCAAAGAGCTGAAATTTACCTTAAAGGTAGACTCATTATATTCAAGCATGCTTGCTCCTGAAGGTGTGTATAAATCTTGTTTGAAAAGCTGAATTGGGTTTTCCTGGAACAAACATTGACAGTACCTACCCTGGAAGCCTATGACTGTGCTGGGTGCATGGAATGGAAAAGAGTAACTGCGCTGGGTGCATGGGACGGAAGAGTAACTGCACTGGGCGCATGGGACGGAAGACTGCACTGGGCACATGGGACGGAAGAGTGTGCTGGGAGCATGGGGTGGAAGAGTAACTGTGCTGGGCGCATGGGACGGAAAAGAGTAACTGTGCTGGGTGCATGGGGTGGAAAAGAGTAACTGTGCTGGGCGCCTGGGACGGGAAAGGGTAACTGTGCTGGGCGCATGGGACGGGAAAGGGTAACTGTGCTGGGTGCATGGGACGGAAAAGGGTAACTGTGCTGGGCGCATGGGACGGGAAAGGGTAACTGTGCTGGGCGCATGGGACGGAAAAGGGTAACTGTGCTGGGCGCATGGGACGGGAAAGGGTAACTGTGCTGGGCGCATGGGACGGGAAAGGGTAACTGTGCTGGGCGCCTGGGACGGAAAAGGGTAACTGTGCTGGGCGCATGGGACGGAAAAGAGTAACTGTGCTGGGCGCATGGGACGGAAGAGTAACTGTGCTGGGCGCGTGGGACGGAAAAGAGTAACTGTGCTGGGCGCGTGGGACGGGAAAGGGTAACTGTGCTGGGCGCCTGGGACGGGAAAGGGTAACTGTGCTGGGCGCATGGGACGGGAAAGGGTAACTGTGCTGGGCGCATGGGACGGGAAAGGGTAACTGTGCTGGGCGCATGGGACGGGAAAGGGTAACTGTGCTGGGCGCATGGGACGGGAAAGGGTAACTGTGCTGGGCGCATGGGACGGGAAAGAGTAACTGTGCTGGGCGCATGGGACGGCAAAGAGTAACTGTGCTGGGCGCATGGGACGGCAAAGAGTAACTGTGCTGGGCGCATGGGACGGAAAAGAGTAACTGTGCTGGGCGCATGGGGCGGAAAAGAGTAACTGTGCTGGGCGCATGGGACGGAAAAGAGTAACTGTGCTGGGCGCATGGGGTGGAAGGGTAACTGTGCTGGGCGCATGGGACGGAAAAGAGTAACTGTGCTGGGCGCATGGGACGGAAAAGAGTAACTGTGCTGGGCGCGTGGGACGGGAAAGGGTAACTGTGCTGGGCGCATGGGACGGAAGAGTAACTGTGCTGGGCGCGTGGGACGGAAAAGAGTAACTGTGCTGGGCGCGTGGGACGGGAAAGGGTAACTGTGCTGGGCGCGTGGGACGGGAAAGGGTAACTGTGCTGGGCGCCTGGGACGGGAAAGAGTAACTGTGCTGGGCGCCTGGGACGGGAAAGAGTAACTGTGCTGGGCGCATGGGACGGAAGAGTAACTGTGCTGGGCGCGTGGGACGGAAAAGGGTAACTGTGCTGGGCGCGTGGGACGGGAAAGGGTAACTGTGCTGGGCGCCTGGGACGGGAAAGGGTAACTGTGCTGGGCGCATGGGACGGGAAAGGGTAACTGTGCTGGGCGCGTGGGACGGGAAAGGGTAACTGTGCTGGGCGCGTGGGACGGGAAAGAGTAACTGTGCTGGGCGCGTGGGACGGAAAAGAGTAACTGTGCTGGGCGCGTGGGACGGGAAAGGGTAACTGTGCTGGGCGCGTGGGACGGAAGAGTAACTGTGCTGGGCGCGTGGGACGGAAAAGGGTAACTGTGCTGGGCGCGTGGGACGGGAAAGGGTAACTGTGCTGGGCGCGTGGGACGGGAAAGGGTAACTGTGCTGGGCGCGTGGGACGGGAAAGGGTAACTGTGCTGGGCGCGTGGGACGGGAAAGGGTAACTGTGCTGGGCGCGTGGGACGGGAAAGGGTAACTGTGCTGGGCGCGTGGGACGGGAAAGGGTAACTGTGCTGGGCGCGTGGGACGGGAAAGGGTAACTGTGCTGGGCGCGTGGGGCGGGAAAGGGTAACTGTGCTGGGCGCGTGGGGCGGGAAAGGGTAACTGTGCTGGGCGCGTGGGACGGGAAAGGGTAACTGTGCTGGGCGCGTGGGACGGGAAAGGGTAACTGTGCTGGGCGCGTGGGGCGGGAAAGGGTAACTGTGCTGGGCGCGTGGGGCGGGAAAGGGTAACTGTGCTGGGCGCGTGGGACGGGAAAGGGTAACTGTGCTGGGCGCGTGGGACGGGAAAGGGTAACTGTGCTGGGCGCGTGGGGCGGAAAAGGGTAACTGTGCTGGGCTCGTGGGACGGGAAAGGGTAACTGTGCTGGGCGCATGGGGCGGGAAAGGGTAACTGTGCTGGGCGCATGGGACGGGAAAGGGTAACTGTGCTGGGCGCATGGGGCGGAAAAGAGTAACTGTGCTGGGCGCATGGGACGGGAAAGGGTAACTGTGCTGGGCGCATGGGGTGGAAAAGAGTAACTGTGCTGGGCCATGGGGCGGAAAAGGGTAACTGTGCTGGGCCATGGGACGGGAAAGGGTAACTGTGCTGGGCGCATGGGACGGGAAAGGGTAACTGTGCTGGGCGCATGGGACGGAAAAGAGTAACTGTGCTGGGCGCATGGGGCGGAAAAGGGTAACTGTGCTGGGCGCATGGGGCGGAAAAGGGTAACTGTGCTGGGCGCATGGGGTGGAAAAGGGTAACTGTGCTGGGCGCGTGGGACGGGAAAGGGTAACTGTGCTGGGCGCGTGGGACGGGAAAGGGTAACTGTGCTGGGCGCGTGGGACGGGAAAGGGTAACTGTGCTGGGCGCGTGGGACGGGAAAGGGTAACTGTGCTGGGCGCGTGGGACGGGAAAGGGTAACTGTGCTGGGCGCGTGGGACGGGAAAGAGTAACTGTGCTGGGCGCATGGGGCGGAAAAGGGTAACTGTGCTGGGCGCATGGGACGGGAAAGGGTAACTGTGCTGGGCGCATGGGGCGGAAAAGAGTAACTGTGCTGGGCCATGGGGCGGAAAAGGGTAACTGTGCTGGGCCATGGGACGGGAAAGGGTAACTGTGCTGGGCGCATGGGACGGGACAGGGTAACTGTGCTGGGCGCATGGGGTGGAAAAGAGTAACTGTGCTGGGCGCGTGGGACGGAAGAGTAACTGTGCTGGGCGCATGGGACGGGAAAGGGTAACTGTGCTGGGCGCATGGGGTGGAAGGGTAACTGTGCTGGGGGCATGGGATGGAAAAGAGTAACTGTGCTGGGCGCGTGGGACGGAAGAGTAACTGTGCTGGGCGCATGGGACGGGACAGGGTAACTGTGCTGGGCGCATGGGGTGGAAGGGTAACTGTGCTGGGCGCGTGGGACGGAAGAGTAACTGTGCTGGGCGCATGGGACGGGAAAGGGTAACTGTGCTGGGCGCATGGGGTGGAAAAGAGTAACTGTGCTGGGCGCATGGGACGGAAAAGGGTAACTGTGCTGGGCGCATGGGGCGGAAAAGGGTAACTGTGCTGGGCGCATGGGGTGGAAAAGAGTAACTGTGCTGGGCGCATGGGGCGGAAAAGGGTAACTGTGCTGGGCGCATGGGGCGGAAAAGGGTAACTGTGCTGGGCGCATGGGATGGAAAAGAGTAACTGTGCTGGGCGCATGGGACGGGAAAGGGTAACTGTGCTGGGCGCATGGGACGGAAAAGGGTAACTGTGCTGGGCGCATGGGACGGGAAAGGGTAACTGTGCTGGGCGCATGGGACGGGAAAGGGTAACTGTGCTGGGAGCATGGGACGGGAAAGGGTAACTGTGCTGGGCGCGTGGGAAGGAAGAGTAACACAGGCCCTGTCCCCAGGGAGACCTCTGGACTTACTTATTTGTTCTGTCCATGGGTTTTGTACTGAATGTCTGCCATATGCCAGATACGGTTCTAGTCACCGCAGAGTTCACATTATGAGCAGGCAGTTGTCACACGATGCAACTAGGCTGTAACAGGGCTTTCTGCCTGGTGCAGACCTTCAGGAAGGCACCTCGATTACCTTCCTCGGAACTCAGGGTGGGCTTGGCAGAGCAGCTGATATGCGGGCAAGGTTTTGCATGCTAAGAAGTGATTTGACAACTGGACGAGGTTAGCAGGAGCTTCTCAGTGGGGGCAGCGCAGAGGTGAAGTCGTAAAGGAGCCTGCTGTCCTAAGGCTGCTGGGAACTGCAGGGGGTTTACTTGAATGAGACAGGACCCCCTCGTCCAGGGCTGGGAGTTCAGGAGACCACGTGTGGCACCTCCATTTTCTCTTCAGAGCAGGACGTGAGCTCACCTGCCACAAAAGAGGGGGCATTGGGTGGGGAGTTGGGGAGAAGGGGAAAGTCCTAGTGCAGTCCCCATGAGGAATGAGAGAGAGAACAAGCGGAAGAGCTGCCAGGTCCCTGGCGGGAGCCACGCCGAGGTCAGAGCCCTCCCCTGTGGCTTGCATGTCTCCGCCATGTGCCCAGGCGGGGAGCAGCCCCGGGGCCACAGAACGCCTCTGTAGCGGGGAAGTGTTGGGAGGGCCGGCTCTGTCCCCTAGGCGGGCCGTGCACTGTTTTAAAGACCCCACTGTGGTCATCATCACCTCCTAACTATACCGTGTACAATTCCACTTGGTCATACCCTTCATCGTGAAGCAATCTCACTGCATTTTAAGAGAGGTTGAAGCATTTTGACAACCTCAGTAATGGGATTTTGGCAGATGGAGGGGGAAATGGCCCAGCCTTTATTTTCAGTTGTGCCATACAGGAGGGCAACCGCTGTCACCCCTGGGGCACCACCTCGGCCAGGCGTGCGACCTCTTGCCCAGGAACCCCAGAAAGGGGGCTCAGGGGCTTAAGCTGCTTTCAAATGTCTGCCGCTTGCGACACCCTCCTCTGTTTTGGCTCCTCATCCTCGTTTTTCTAGAAGAGGAAAGGACAGTAGCCACATTTCAAAAAACAGTTCCAGGAAGTTTACTTTGTCTGGCGTAGAAGACGAGCCTTAAAGCCAGACACAGTTAAAGAGCAACTCTGATTCCAGGACATGTGTCCAGCCACAGTGACACAGCTTCACCCCGAGTGCCCGGGGGGGGGGCAGGGGTGGTGGCCTGAGTGGGACTCAGGTGCCATCCCCAGGGGTCTCAGAACCCAGAATTGCCAGGCTCTGTCCCTACTTGGTTAAAATTTTATGCGAATGTGGACTTTACCCTATAAGCCCATATCGTTATTGTATAAAAATCATTTTCTCTAAATCTTCCAATGAAAGTGACCCTCGAGCACAATGGGCCATGTCTATCTTGTGGTTTCTGCTCCCTGGAGAGAAGAATGCCCTGTTCCTGGCCCACTGAATCCAATGCTGGACTCCTCCGAGTCACACTCACAGACACACGTGGATCAGGTTTAATCTAAACACCTGTGGCCCAGTCAAATGGACGGTCCTTCCCTCATCCGCCTGCCGCTCCCCGTCCTCCACGTGGCCAGCAGGTGGCCCTTATGGGTGTGGTGCAGTCACTACCTGGGCACCATCTCTGCCAGGCGTGAGACCTCAGCCCTCTTCCTGGGTCCTTTCCAGCACATGGGCTCTCAGCGTCCTCACCCTAGCGACCCTCCCAGGACCTCCCTGCAGGACTGGGTCAGGACCAGGAAGCCCTCGGACCCCAGGATGGCCCTTTGCAGGTCTCAGGCACTGCAGAGCTCCTTTTGCAAGCTCTGATGTTGTTTGATGGTGTCCGGCTCACCAGAGGCTCCACTCGGACAGCACCAGCACAGTGCCCACCTGCCTTCGGGGAACTTTGCATTTTAGCAGCGGAAACATTTCCTCAAAGAGAAGTCTTCCCAGGAGTCCCTATGCACGGAGCTGCTGAAGATGGAGCTGTCCACGGGAGCAGAGTTGGGGTTCCGGGACCTGAAGGCATCCAGCCCTCCAGAGCCCAGGGTTCCAGCCACCGCACAGACTCCAGCCACTGTGCTCAAGACAGCTCATGGGTTCCCACCTGCCTCCCAAAACAAATCTGGGCCAAGTGGATTAGAGTTTTAAATTCATTCTTTTTAAAAAATACATGAAGATTCAAAGATGGGCAGATGCAGAAAATGAAATACTCTATATTGTATTTAATAGGAATTCTGTCCAAAAAAAAAAACAGAGATGGGTATATCAAAGCAATTATCAACTTCTGCATCTTTTCTGTTTTCCTCCCCGACTATTTTCAAAGGCCCGGTATCAGCCCAGATTCCCATTGTCTGTGTCCAGACAACGACCGACCTCTGTGTGACTGGATCACGTGAGCCAAACTCCCCTGGCCCCGGGTCAGCGCCGTCTCCCTCGAGGCTGTTTCCTGGTCTCCTTGGGACATTTATGAGGAGAGCTGATTAAGGTGGTGCCACTCCTGGACCCAGAGAAAGAGTTCTCCATGCCTGGGCTCAGTGGGGCTCATGGAAGTCTCTTCTGGGGGATTTGAGGTTCTGGTCTGGGATTGGGAATTCATTCCTTTTTGTTCCAATTTCATTAACCTCATATAAGAAGCAGGTAAAAGCAATTTATGCAAATCCTTTTTTCAATAGTCTAAGACATTTTACCTTTTGATAATAGCAGCCAGGCAAAGGAAGGAGCCGCAGACAGGCAGGTTTTGAGGCCCCAATTTAAAATCTGAGCTACCTTTCCCCACCTCTTCAAAAGCCTTTCTGTGGATAAGATAAGAGTGTAATCCCTTAGTCTGGTACAAATGTTTTAAGACTTTGTATTTCTAAAATCCAATTTGAGTTATCCTTGAACTTTAAAGCTGTTTTGTCCACTGAACCAAGGGCCCCGGGATGCAGACAAGTGTGGCCCAGCCCCTCGCCCCCGTGAAACCCCAGCCGCCATGGGCGCCAGGAGCCCTGTCAGAGGCAGGAGGCACCGACGCAGATGCTGTGGGCTTGTCCTTTCTGAGAAAGATCTTCACGCGCCTTCTTCCCCTAGACGGAGAGGCTTGGGGTGCAACAGCAGCCCTTGCTGCTGGCCACATGGGGCTGAGGGTGGCCTGTCAGGAGGCTGTACAAGGCATGATTGCAGGAAGCACAGTGAGGAGACCGCGCGGCAGAGTCGGCCCCATCTGTGTTCTCCTGGCTTCGTGGGACCCGGACACCCCAGGCCTCCGGGCTGCATGTGTCTGCCCAGCTGAGCTGACCTCCTTGCCAGACCCTCGCTGGGTACCCACCGGGCACCAGGTGGCCCTCAGGAGCCCCTCTGGGCCTCCAGGTGTAGACGGGAGAGGCAGAGCCCACAGACGTCTGCAGGGTGGGAGCTGGGGGGCCCACAGATGCCCCATAGCAGAGGGGAGGGTGCTCAGCTGGGAGGAGGCTCTGAGTGTGGAAGGATGGAGGGTGGGTTTCTGGGCACAGGGCAGCCAGAGATGCAGCAGTGCAGGCCCCACAGACTCAGGGGTCCAAGGGCAGGGGCTGCTGCAGCTTCAGGCAGGGCCAGCAGCAGAGCTGGTCGCGGGGGTCTGGGCTCAATCACTGCTCACGGCTCACGCCTCACACTTTACGTGACACTTCTGGT
Organism: Homo sapiens; assembly: GCF_000001405.40. NCBI lineage: Eukaryota > Metazoa > Chordata > Mammalia > Primates > Hominidae > Homo > Homo sapiens. The sequence goes on along the minus strand of NT_187563.1, from coordinate 31,492 downwards.
TCTCTCAAGCCTTTTTCTCAGTAATACAGAATCTCATAGTTACGTAAACGACACAAAACAGAAAATGGATCGTCCTAACCGTTTTTAGGTGCACGCCTCTTAGCATTGTATGTGTTCACAACGTTGTGCGAGCATCTCCACCACCCATTTCCAGAACCTTCCATCATCCCAAACTGGAACTCTGTCCCCAGTAAACACTGACCCCTGTTCCTCCCCCCACCCCGGCAGCCCACTCTACCCTCTGTCTCTGAGTTTGATGACTCCAGGGACCTCACACAAGTGGAATCACACAGTCTGTGTCCTCTAGTGATGGCTTCTTTCACTGGGCAGTGTCCCCAGGGTTCCCTGTGTTGTGCTGTATGTGTCCTTTGGTGACTGGCTTATTTCACTGGGCACATGTCCTCAGGACTCCCCATGTTATGCCATATGTCTGCACCCCCTCCTCTTAGGGCTGGTGACATCTGTCAGTGTGGATGGACCACATTTTGCTCCTCTGTCCATCCGTCCACAGATGCTGGCCTTGCATCCACCCTTTGGCTGCTGTCATAAAGTTGCTGTGAACCTGGCGTGCAAATACCTCTTCAAGACCCTGCTTTCAGTTGTTCTCCATGGACACCCAGACATAGGGCTGCCGGCTCCTATGGGAATTCCATTTCTAACTCCGAGGAACCGCCACCCTGTTCTCCCTAGCTGCTGCAATAGCGCAGTGTTCCCATCTCTCTGCCTTCTCACCAGCACCTGTTACTTTCTGTTTTTTTCGGTAAGAGTCACGCACATGGCATGAGGTGGAATTGCACTGAGGAATCATGCTTCCCCAATGATTTTGGTGACGCCAAGCGCCTCTGCCTGTGCCTGAGGTCATTTGTGTGTCTTCTTTGGAGAAACATGTGTTCAAGTACTTTGTGTTTTCTGAACGAGATGGTTTTCCATCGTTATTGTAGTTGAGTTGTGGAAGTTTCCTACATGTTCTGGATATTAATCCCCCACTGCAATTTGATTCGCAAATCTTTTCCCCCTTTATATGGGTTGTCTTTTCGCTCTCTGGATGGTGCGCTTTGACGCACAAACGTTTTCAGTGTCATCAAACCCAATTTATCTATTTTTTTCTTTTGTGCCTGTGTTTTTGGTGTTATATCCAGGAAATCGTGGCCAAATCCAATGTCATAAAGGTCTTGCCCTGTATGTTTTAGGTCTCACATTTAGCTCTGAGTTCATGTATGTTCTGGCCAAGTGTGCGTCCAGCCACTCTGCTATTCGCTGTGAGTCAGCGCACGCTCGGGTGGGAGGTGACGGTCTGGCTCACTCCTCTGCGTGTGGATATCCAGTTTTCCTGGGAGGCGAGGGTCTGGCCACACTCCTCTGCGTGTGGATATCCAGTTCTCCTGGGAGGCGAGGGTATGGCCACACTCCTCTGCGTGTGGATATCCAGTTCTCCTGGGAGGCGAGGGTCTGGCTCATTCCTCTGCATGTGGATATCCAGTTTTCCTGGGAGGTGAGGGTCTGGCCACACTCCTCTGCGTGTGGATATCCAGTTCTCCTGGGAGGCGAGAGTCTGGCTCATTCCTCTGCATGTGGATATCCAGTTTTCCTGGGAGGCGAGAGTCTGGCTCATTCCTCTGCATGTGGATATCCAGTTTTCCTGGGAGGTGAGGGTCTGGCCACACTCCTCTGCGTGTGGATATCCAGTTCTCCTGGGAGGCGAGGGTCTGGCCACACTCCTCTGCGTGTGGATATCCAGTTCTCCTGGGAGGCGAGGGTCTGGCTCACTCCTCTGCATGTGGATATCCAGTTCTCCTGGGAGGCGAGGGTCTGGCTCACTCCTCTGCGTGTGGATATCCAGTTCTCCTGGGAGGCGAGGGTCTGGTTCACTCCTCTGCGTGTGGATATCCAGTTCTCCTGGGAGGCGAGGGTCTGGCTCACTCCTCTGCGTGTGGATATCCAGTTCTCCTGGGAGGTGAGGGTCTGGCCGCCGTCCTCTGCGTGTGGATATCCAGTTCTCCTGGGAGGTGAGGGTCTGGCTCACTCCTCTGCATGTGGATATCCAGTTCTCCTGGGAGGTGAGGGTCTGGCCGCCGTCCTCTGCGTGTGGATATCCAGTTCTCCTGGGAGGTGAGGGTCTGGCTCACTCCTATGCATGTGGATATCCAGTTCTCCTGGGAGGCGAGGGTCTGGCTCACTCCTCTGCGTGTAGATATCCAGTTCTCCTGGGAGGCGAGGGTCTGGCTCACTCCTCTGCGTGTGGATATCCAGTTCTCCTGGGAGGTGAGGGTCTGGCCGCCGTCCTCTGCGTGTGGATATCCAGTTCTCCTGGGAGGTGAGGGTCTGGCTCACTCCTCTGCATGTGGATATCCAGTTCTCCTGGGAGGCGAGGGTCTGGCTCACTCCTCTGTGTGTAGATATCCAGTTCTCCTGGGAGGCGAGGGTCTGGCTCACTCCTCTGTGTGTAGATATCCAGTTCTCCTGGGAGGCGAGGGTATGGCCACACTCCTCTGGGTGTAGGTATCCAGTTCTCCTGGGAGGCGAGGGTCTGGCTCACTCCTCTGCGTGTAGATATCCAGTTCTCCTGGGAGGCGAGGGTCTGGCTCACTCCTCTGCGTGTGGATATCCAGTTCTCCTGGGAGGCGAGGGTCTGGTTCACTCCTCTGCGTGTGGATATCCAGTTCTCCTGGGAGGCGAGGGTCTGGCTCACTCCTCTGCGTGTGGATATCCAGTTCTCCTGGGAGGTGAGGGTCTGGCCGCCGTCCTCTGCGTGTGGATATCCAGTTCTCCTGGGAGGTGAGGGTCTGGCTCACTCCTCTGCATGTGGATATCCAGTTCTCCTGGGAGGTGAGGGTCTGGCCGCCGTCCTCTGCGTGTGGATATCCAGTTCTCCTGGGAGGTGAGGGTCTGGCTCACTCCTATGCATGTGGATATCCAGTTCTCCTGGGAGGCGAGGGTCTGGCTCACTCCTCTGCGTGTAGATATCCAGTTCTCCTGGGAGGCGAGGGTCTGGCTCACTCCTCTGCGTGTGGATATCCAGTTCTCCTGGGAGGTGAGGGTCTGGCCGCCGTCCTCTGCGTGTGGATATCCAGTTCTCCTGGGAGGTGAGGGTCTGGCTCACTCCTCTGCATGTGGATATCCAGTTCTCCTGGGAGGCGAGGGTCTGGCTCACTCCTCTGTGTGTAGATATCCAGTTCTCCTGGGAGGCGAGGGTCTGGCTCACTCCTCTGTGTGTAGATATCCAGTTCTCCTGGGAGGCGAGGGTATGGCCACACTCCTCTGGGTGTAGGTATCCAGTTCTCCTGGGAGGCGAGGGTCTGGCTCACTCCTCTGCGTGTGGATATCCAGTTCTCCTGGGAGGTGAGGGTCTGGCTCACTCCTCTGCATGTGGATATCCAGTTCTCCTGGGAGGCGAGGGTCTGGCTCACTCCTCTGCGTGTGGATATCCAGTTCTCCTGGGAGGCGAGGGTCTGGTTCACTCCTCTGCGTGTGGATATCCAGTTCTCCTGGGAGGCGAGGGTCTGGCTCACTCCTCTGCGTGTGGATATCCAGTTCTCCTGGGAGGTGAGGGTCTGGCCGCCGTCCTCTGCGTGTGGATATCCAGTTCTCCTGGGAGGTGAGGGTCTGGCTCACTCCTCTGCGTGTAGATATCCAGTTCTCCTGGGAGGCGAGGGTCTGGCTCACTCCTCTGTGTGTAGATATCCAGTTCTCCTGGGAGGCGAGGGTCTGGCCACACTCCTCTGGGTGTAGGTATCCAGTTCTCCTGGGAGGCCAGGGTCTGGCTCACTCCTCTGCATGTGGATATCCAGTTCTCCTGGGAGGCGAGGGTCTGGCCGCAGTCCTCTGCGTGTGGATATCCAGTTCTCCTGGGAGGCGAGGGTCTGGCTCACTCCTCTGCGTGTAGATATCCAGTTCTCCCAGAACCACCTGTTGAGGAAACCGTCCTTTCCCCCACAGGTTTTTTAAAAGTCAGTTTATTTTTGTTTAGTATGGGAAAAAGCAGGTTATTTTTAAGGACACGAGAATTTTATTTCAGATCAGTACATTTTTAAGGTTATAAAATTTAGTTAATATTATCTTTAAAATATTGATAATATTTCAAGCCAGATATTGACTCTGTCCCATTTAACATGTAATGCATGCCTTTTAATTTACTTTAAATTTATCATGTAAGAAGAAGCATGATTCATGGAAAGCAGACTCAACAATACACAGATGGTCCCCGCCTCAGGATGGTTGGACTTAGTATTTCTCACTTTACAGTGGTGTGAAACTGTACTCTGAGTGCTCACCCAACTACGCTGTTATTCACTTTCAGGGCAGTAGTCAAGAAATGGCCTGATATCTTCAGCACTTTATCATAAACAGGCTTTGTGAGAGATGGTTTCGCCCAGCTGCAGGCTTGCATGAGTGTTCTGAGCACACGTAAGGCAGGCTGGGCTGAGCTGTGATGCTCAGCAGGTTATATGGATCCAGTACGTCTCTAACCTAGCACATTTCGACTTGCACCGGGTTCATTGGGATGTAACCCCATGATGTAACCCCATCATACACTGAGGAACCTCCATAGTGTGTTTATCTGAGAACTGAATACATATCAAAATGTAAAGTAAATTTAACCAGGAAATTGGCTCCAATAATAGACAAACAAAGCTTTCAGTGACCTGATGGCTAATATCCTTACCCGTTTGATTATAGAAGTTTTATGTTCGTAATTCCTGTTTTATTTGTGAATTACAAGAGAAAATGAACAGTTTCAGGCTGCTATTTGTAAGCAAGCGTCTGCAAATAAATGTGTTTCAGGTGGGGGTAGCCTAAATGTCACGTAAACCAGCGCAATTCAGACGGGGGAAGCCTAAATTCCACCCACACCAGCACAATTCAGACGAGGGAAGCCTAAATTCCAGATACACCAGCGCGATTCAGATGGGGGAAGCCTAAATTCCACCCACACCAGCACACTTCAGACGGGGGAAGCCTAAATTCCAGATACACCAGCACAATTCAGACGGGGGAAGCCTAAATTCCAGATACACCAGCGCGATTCAGACGGGGGAAGCCTAAATTCTACATAAATCAACAGGTCTCAGGTCTCTAAATTCCACATAAATTAAATCAAATTTGGATAGATTGATTCCCAGACGTTCTGCTCTGAGCGTTGTGTGCAGCGTGGAAGTCTTTCTGGCCTGCTGTGTATGAGCGGGAATTGGATGGTGGTGGATTCGCTTTGGGGCATGGCTTCATTGCTGGCTTACGTCTCTCACACTTGCTCAGGGTCCGTGTTCCTTCCAGAGCTTGCCTTTCATCAGACTCCATCTGAGCACCAATTTGACTGCACATCCCTGAGTAGGAAAAAGCCTCACGTTTAACATCTGCAGTGCATAGAACTTCCACAGTGGCTGGCAGGTCACTTGGGTGGGATGACAGCGTCTCCGGGGACAAGGATGGACAGGTGGATGGGTGAGGAGCATGAGGTGAGGAAGGCCTGGGCTGTGGTAGAGAAAGGAGAGGAGGGAGAAAGTGCTTGGGAACACAGCCGGCGAGCGCAGTGACATGCTGGTGTGGGGAGAGGGGCACGGGGCCGAGAGCCACAGTGTGGAGCTGGTTTGGGACTGGAGTAGAAGCTGGTTCAGGGAGAAGCCGTGAGCTCAGTGGGGGACAGGTGGCCAGCCGGGGAAAGGCCAGGGGACACCAGGGGAGGCATTCAGCCAGTGCTGTGACAGGAGAGCCTGCAGCTCAGGCCAGGCCAGACCAGAGCTGTCCCTGTGGACATTCTGGTGCCAGAGTGTGGGGGCAGAGGCCAGGAGAGGCGTCAGGGCAAGGGGACAGTCCGTCAGGGCCCCACATTCTATGTTCACCACAGAGCAGCTCCGCTATCCTCAGATGCTGGCTTTCTCAGCTTGACTGTGTGAGTTCCTCTTTGAAGGAGAATTTCTGAATGTGACTTAATTCAATTTTGTGCTTCCAACAAATCTTCCCTCATTAAAAATAGCTAGGAGACCATCTGCATTGGTGAGAGTCTGGGTTTCCGGGAAATGGTAACGAAACTCTGCAGTTGAGCCAGGGACGCAAAATGCATCGCCCTGCCCTGCTGGCGGTGGGCTGTTGATTCAGTGACCTACCAGGTGCCAGGAACAGGGGTGACCTCACAGGTGACACAGCCTGGCCCCACCACCAAGCATGGCCCCACATCGAACCCGTGGGAGCAGAGCCCCACCCTGCACCGCCTCGCTCACCCCTGCCTTCTCCCTTGCCTCTCTGGATGACAGACTGGGCCCCTGCTGCCCTCTACTCCTCTCTAGGCTGCTCTCCCAGGTGTGGGGAGGCTGGCACTCATGCCTCCTTCCCTCCTCACCCCTGTCCCCCCCGGCTGCACCTGGATGCTGCGATAGGCAGTGCCCTGCCGAGGAATGGAGGGCCGCCCAGGCCCACACTCGGGCCACGCAGGAGTTGCTTCTGGCGTCAAGTCCACACATTTCAGTGCAAACGCAAAGCCTCCAGGATCTGGGCCAAGCTGCCACTCCAGCTTCATCTTCATTCACTGCTCGTCTGCACCACCCACGGGAGCCACGCACCTTTCCCAACTGCACCGACATGGGCGCTGGGTCCCAGGTTCTGCCTCGAGAGCCCCTGCACCCCCGCCCTGCCCCTGGCCCTGGCTCCATCTGACATGACATCAGGACCCCCCCTGAGAGACCATGTCTTCTGTCAGGCCTCCCCTCCCTGGCGGGATCACTCCCTTCCCAATGCCAGGCTGCAGTCAGCATTCGTGAGCACCCAAAATATGCCAGGCAGCATATGAGGCACATGGCACACGTGGTCTCACCCGTCTTCCCACCAGCCGTGAAGTGGGTGCCACGAGCCTCCTCGCAGGTGGGGAGGACCAGGGCGTGGGGAGCTGACCTCACAGACACGTGAGGGTGGGGGCCAGGGGCTCACTGTAACCTCATGACAGGGACCAAATGCTGCCAGATACAGACAATGTTTCTTGGTTGGTGGCTGCTCCGGGGGTGGGGGGCGAGACTGAAGCGCTTTTGCGGCCGAGCACCACATGTCAGGCTGCGCACAGCACGTGGTCTTCGGGAAAAGTCTGTTGAATGAAGTGTTCTCGTTTGAAGACACATATCCCTTAACCCCTGAGCCTCTACTCTAGAAGGAAGGAGGTTTAGAATGCTCTGTAACACGATGAATAAAATGGAAGGGTCTGCAAAGCCACCATCCTCCAGCGGGAGCCCCAGGCCCCTGGGGTGGGAGCAGGAGCACAGGAGGAGCCCTAGGCAGAAACCCGGCTCTCCAGGGCAGGCAGGTCCTCTCAGCCTCTCCCCAAACATCTGTGAGGAAACCGTGCTGCAGCCACAGTGTCGAGACACACACCCTTGCCATCAGCCACCTTCCTCCCATGCAGCAAGCTCGGGCACACCCAGTGTAGAGGGGAGCTGCGACTCAGTGGACGCTGACACTGGGCATTGGTGGGAACAGACAGCGGTGCTGTGGCTCCTGCTGGTGGGACGCTGGGCTCGGCTGACGGTCAGGAGGCAACGCAGCTGCGCACATCCGAAGCTCTCGACGTGTGGAGATGCTTTGGCATGGACACTCGTCCCCTGACACTTCATCCTAAGGACACAATTCTTTGAGATGTGCAAAGAATGAAGTGCGTGGCTGTTCATTACAACATTGCTCATGATGCGAACATGGCACATGAAGGGATGTGGATGGGAGACTTTCCGACGAGGGAAGCCCCTTGCAGACCAGGCACCCCTGACATTTCTGAAGAAGCAAATCTCCCTTGTGGATGCGGCACCCAGAGCAACACTAATGGGCCTACACCGTGCCCGTTGTGTGTTCTTAGCAGGAATTTTCTGTGCCGGGGAACAGCTGTTTCTTTCTATTCCTTTATATTTTTCTAAGACTTCCTTTTGCCCCGAAGTCTTCTGTTTTATATCTGTACCTAAAATAGGCCAGAGCACACACACCACGGCTGCATCCTGAGCGGCTGTGATAGTCAGCTCTGTGGACCCACGTCCATCCCGCTGTCCTGACACCTCCCCGAGCCCCCACACCTACCTCCCCAACATGGGGCCTCTGTCAGAAGTAATGAGACCTTCCTCAACTCGCGAGGGGCTTTCACCTTGTCACACTTAAGAAACACTCCTGCGTCCCGTGTTTTAGGAGAGCTAGAGCCAGTCACACGGTGTCCCCTGCCCAGGGCTCCGCTGTCCCAGAAAGACTGGAAATGAGGGTCTCGGCTTTGCCACAGGAATGGGTGGGATTCTGCCTGTTTCTCCATCTTTTTGTAATTTCTATTATAAAGAGTGAGGCACGCTCACCATTTGCCGTTATCCTTGAAGGAGTTTCTCCCCAGAAAGCGCTTGATGGAGACGAGGGCACCTGCTCCTGGTGTGGGAAGAGGTAGCTCGTGGAAGCCACATGATTCACGTGACTCCCTCGGTCCCCGCGTGCACACCCATGCATCGGTGCAGCCGGGGCCGCAGTGTCCTTGGCTCAGGCCTCCTACGCAGGGAAGCAGGGTCGGCCGCTGGATCACCCGGCTGTGCAGCTGGGATTTGCCCTTGACCCGGGTGTGCAACAAGGCTTTGTCCTGTGGGCCGCACGCGTTCCCAAACACAGAGCAGGAGCTGCAGGAGGCGGAGAAGCCAGAGTGACAAGGTGGGTTTGGGGGTCTGAGGGCCCCAGAGGTCGGACATTGGAATGACCGATTGCGGCAGCCGAGAAACCAAGAGTGGCTGCAGTGTCACCGCGGCATGATGGGGCGAGGGTAGCTACCAACTGAACCTAAGGAAATTCAGTTCCATGATAAGCCAAGAAGGGTCAACAGCGTCTCTCGCTAACACTGCAGATATCTGGACTGGCCCCGGGGCCTGGTCCCTGGTGGTGCCATGCAGCTGAGAAGAAATTGCTCCTATAAGCGAATATCTGACACCCCAGCCAAAAGTCTTATTCTTTCCCCTAAATTCCAAAGGAATTTCCTCTCTATTTTCCAGTCGATTGGAGTCGTTTCCATCGGTGGCTGTCTTACCAGTGGGTGATGAGTCTGAGAAATAGGAACCATGTCTTATTTATCTGTATGACCCCACAGCAGTAACTATTATAATGCCTCAGACTTAAGGACTCAATAAATATTGGATGACTAGACAGAAATTAATTAATGAACATGCTAGCTTCCTGGTAACATATGTAACATCTCTCTTGGTCCACTTAGACTGTAAATTAATGAGACCTTTGAGGAATGAAGAAAGTACGCGGGCAACTGCGGGAAGGCCGGAGATTGCAGAGGCTGTCTTCAGAGAGGGGTCTGGGGAGCTCTTTCAGCCTTGTCCCGCGGGCCGAGCCCACTCCCCCGGCATACAGAGCTCCTCTTGGAGGGGCCCTGCTGATGGTCTGGCCCTGCTCTCCGGGGGCGCTCATGCCTTCCACTGCCACTGGCTGTTATTCTTTCTGCCTTCATGCCAGCTGGAGCTCCCGGATGCCAAGAACTGGACAGCAGGCACGAAGTTCTCCGCGTTCCCAGGAGGCCGGGATGTGCAAAGGGCATGGCCGGAGCCGGGCTGTCCTGACAGACATGTAAGCACACAGAAGGGTGGCAGGTGACCTTTCTCTGGAGCGCATGACGGCAGTGCTGTGGCCTTGGCCTTCCACTCCCAATGGGGGACTTCCCACTTCTCAGACCTAGAGAGAAGGCCTCAGGGTCCCTTGGGAAGCACGATCTCCGCTCCCCCTTTAATGGGTCGAGAATGGAGACGTGAGTCAGGCACAACCTTCAGAAGTCCTGGCACGAGGGGCCTGGAAGCTCAGGTGGGGCTTCCGTGACCACCTGCGGCCACACAGGGCCCAGGGCCAGCCTGGACGAATTGTAAAGGGACCCTCTCATGGGGCTTCCTGCTCAGGAGAGGCAGGAATGGGAGATGTGGGTTTGGCTGCAGGCCTGAGCAGGTGTTGGAGGACAGGGGCCATGCACTGGGGAACACGCTCCTGGGGAGACCCCCTCCTGGAGCCCCCAGGGCCAGAGACGCCTGCAGGAGGGAGAGGTCCAGAAGATGGCTGCCCAAGAAACAGGGCAATGTGTGGGGATGGAGGCAAGGGGTGGGGCATGGCAGGCTACAGTAGCGCTGCCACCTGCAGGAGGCGGAGAGGCCACAGCGACAAGGTGGGTTTGGGGGTCTGAGGGCCCCAGAGGTCGGACACTGGAAGGACCGATTGCGGCAGCTGAGAAACCAAGAGTGGCTGCAGTGTCACCGCGGACGCCTGGACGTGCTGAGACTCACCCCGGGGCCATGGAGAGTGGCTGCAGTGTCACCGCGGACGCCTGGACGTGCTGAGACTCACCCTGGGGCCATGGAGAGTGGCTGCAGTGTCACCGCGGATGCCTGGACATGCTGAGACTCACCACGGGGCCACCGAGAGAGGCTGCAGTGTCACCTCAGATGCCTGGACATGCTGAGACTCACCACAGGGCCACGGAGAGAGGCTGCAGTGTCACCTCAGACGCCTGGACATGCTGAGACTCACCTCAGGGCTGCGGGGCAGACCTGGAGCCAGGCCGGGGACTGCAGGGTTGGGAGGAGGAAGGCGCTCTCCAAACACGCCCTGTGAAGCCACCGTAGAATCAGACTGTGCCTCCAGCCTGACCTGTGCTGGCCCCTTCCTGTGAGCTCCAGGAAAGTCCGTGCTTGAAGAGCTCATTCATGAGTGCCTTGTTTTATTTCCTTCACATGAAAGCAGAGAACATGAATTGTTTTAAAAATAGCCTCTCCTTCTACAAGTCATTATTTGCAGAAATAGCTGATAGTTCAAAAACTCTAAATTCATTTGCCACGTTCATTCAAATTGTTCTGATCTTATCATCTTTCCCAAATCCCACATTTATTACAGATGTATTTATTCTTTGTCTCCCCTCCCTCCTCTATATAATGGTTTAGGAGAGATTACAAAAGGTAATTTATAACAGGTTAAAAGAGAGACCTCACCACTCACAGAAAAACGAAGCATTCCCCTCCCCAGAGTGGAGACGTGGCTTTCTGGGGAATGTGGCCCAGGGCCCTGGCCGCCTGCCCACACGCGTAGAAATACATGAAATGGCTGCGCATGTTTCAGTCACTTAGAGAAATACCGAAAAATGGCTTCATATAAACCTCTGAAAGGTACGCGGGGTAGCAATTAATCTCCTTCCGTAGTAAAGAGCCCAGCTGCTTTGGCCATGATGAACATCAGTCTTTGCTCTTGAAGGCTTCAGAACAGGTGTAACAGGGATGGGGCGCAGGTGCTGGCCCGCAGGTCGGGATGTGCCTGCTGCGTGCCCCGGCCACCCCAGCCAGCGGTCCTGCAGCAAGGAGCAGCCGGTGCCCATACCTGGTGAAGAGGCTGGGTTGGCCGCTGCCTGGCCTGAGAGGTGAGGCGTGGAGCTGTGTCCACATGAGGAGACGCAAGGGAGCGATTTCCATGAAGGAGTCCATAGACCTCCGAGCTCTTTCTCTGTAGCTCAGCTGAACAACGTTGCCAACTAGGGAGGGCACTGGCTTCCGCGGTCAATTGCAGGCTCGGACACTCACTGCAGGCTTAGCCTTTGACTAAGTCAGCTGACCCTGCAGCACCCAGGTGCCCACCTGTGACCTTGTGGCGATGCATGTCCCATGCAGGTGCTGAGTGTCCAAGCTGATGTTTGCAGGATACCCACCCGTGGCTCCCACGGCACCATCAGGCTGTTGCCCCAGATGTGCAGTTGTTCCCTCACTGGGTCACCGACATGCCTCTTGCCTCCATGCACTGAGTTCAGGACCGTGAATAAGTGAGGCTTGTTGGACCCACCAAATGTGCTTTTTTTAGAGATGCATTTTCTCAAAGCCTCGTGGATCGATTTTGGTGATGCTGTGAATGACCATCTTTGTGTCTGTGAGTCCCCGTGCAGTGAGAGGTAACAGCAGTGTTCCTGCAGAGTCTAAGTGGCCAGGCAGTGTTCCTGCAGAGTCTACGTGGCCAGGCAGTGTTCCCGCAGAGTCTACGTGGCCAGGCAGTGTTCCCGCAGAGTCTACGTGGCCAGGCAGTGTTCCCTCAGAGTCTACGTGGCCAGGCAGTGTTCCCGCAGAGTCTACGTGGCCAGGCAGTGTTCCCGCAGAGTCTACGTGGCCAGGCAGTGTTCCCGCAGAGTCTACGTGGCCAGGCAGTGTTCCCGCAGAGTCTACGTGGCCAGGCAGTGTTCCCGCAGAGTCTACGTGGCCAGGCAGTGTTCCTGCAGAGTCTACGTGGCCAGGCAGTGTTCCCGCAGAGTCTGTGTGACCAGGCAGTGTTCCCGCAGAGTCTACGTGGCCAGGCAGTGTTCCCGCAGAGTCTGTGTGACCAGGCAGTGTTCCCGCAGAGTCTACGTGGCCAGGCAGTGTTCCCTCAGAGTCTACGTGGCCAGGCAGTGTTCCTGCAGAGTCTGTGTGACCAGGCAGTGTTCCCGCAGAGTCTACGTGGCCAGGCAGTGTTCCTGCAGAGTCTACGTGGCCAGGCAGTGTTCCTGCAGAGTCTGTGTGACCAGGCAGTGTTCCCGCAGAGTCTACGTGGCCAGGCAGTGTTCCTGCAGAGTCTACGTGGCCAGGCAGTGTTCCTGCAGAGTCTACGTGGCCAGGCAGTGTTCCTGCAGAGTCTGTGTGGCCAGGCAGTGTTCCTGCAGAGTCTGTGTGACCAGGCAGTGTTCCTGCAGAGTCTATGTGGCCAGGCAGTGTTCCTGCAGAGTCTACGTGGCCAGGCAGTGTTCCTGCAGAGTCTGTGTGACCAGGCAGTGTTCCCGCAGAGTCTTCGTGGCCATGGCCCACCCAACAACTGCGACTTCTTAGGACGAGGACTCAGGTGTATGAGTTCCTCACAGCCCCCTTTTTCAGCCCAAGGCGATGCCCACAGTGTCCTGGCACCACCTCCCACCCCCAGCCTGTGGCTGAACCCAAAGGGATGGCCCGGGAGCTGATGGGTCACAGGCCATCCCATGTCCCACGTGGGCTTCTCAAAGGTTTTGGTTCCCATCCCTAGTTTTGGGGCAGTGGCTGTCTCACATGGGGTTAGGGTGGAAAACAGCTAAGTCAGATCAGAGCGTGGAACCCCAGAGCTGGTGTAGCTGTACCTCCAGGCCGCCCGCTGCCCTGCTCCTTGCCATCTGTGTCTCCCCGGAGCATGCAGCCTGCCTGGAGTGCTGCCCTGGGTGTCTTTTCAGAGTGCAACCCTGCAACCTCAGCACAGGAGTCTGTCTCCATCTTGACAGGCATTGCTGAAGATGTAAGTGCTCCCCCAGAACATCGGGGTGTGTAGGCCCTCCACGATGTGCTGCTTGGACGGCGGAGACCGCCGTTTTCTCTTGGCAGTCTGGCGCTGAGTGGATTTGCCCAAAGTCACAGATCAACTTGCTGTTGCAGCAGGGGCCGGCCTGTTTCTGGAGTGGTTTAGATTTGGGATGATGGAGCTATGATCAGCTTACACCAGCGCAGTGCCTGGCAGCTTTAGCAGAAGGGTCATTCACTGAGGTCCAGCCAGCAGTCAACAGCACTTAGAAAACAACAACCAAGAAGAGTAGCCAGCGCCAAGCAGAACCGGGGGCCTCCCCTCCTCTGCGAGCACACAGCAGCCTCCTCATGCCCTTCATCCCCTATCACTTTGCCTCATTCTGTTTTCCTCTTCTTCCTTTATGGTAGCGGGGGGACTGGCACCCCAGTGTCCTTGCATCTGTGCTGGTAGGTTGCTGAGGGGTTTCCCGCGGCCGCCGGCCTGTCTCCCAACACTCCCTGGGCCTCATTCATTCCCACCACGACCCTCCTCTTGGGCGCACGGCCTGGACTCCCGCCTCCAGCCCTCCCCACCTGTCGGTATTTCTCTCCCACCCTGCAGGGGGTGCTTTTCTCAAGGCCATTTTAAGCACACATTTCACTCATTCAGAGTGAAGATGACACAGAAGCCACCAGATTCAAGTGCTCAGAAAGCAGGACAAGCGCGTCGGGCTCAGAGCTCTTCCCCAGGAAGCTGGCCTCCAAAAGCAGGAGACGGAGAATCCATTCAGGAAAAGCACATGGGGCTGGGCGCCGTTCCCTGGGGAGCTGGCCTCGGAAAGCGGGAGACCCAGAATACATTCAGGAGAAGTGATCGGGCTTGGAGCCATTCCCTGGGGAAATGGCCTCAGAAAGCGGGAGACCTAGAATCTGCTCAGGAGAAGCGCCTCAAGCTCAGTGCCGTTCCCCAGGGAGTTGGCTTCAGAAAGCGGGAGACCTAGAATCCTTTCAGAAGCATGTCGGACTGGGCGCCGTTCCCTGGGGAGCTGGCTTTAGAAAACGGGAAACCCAAAATCGGCTCAGGAGAAGCACGTCGGACTGGGCATCGTTCCCCAGGGATCCCTGACTTCAGGGCCTTTTGTGCCACCTCTGTTAGTGAGTGTCGGGATTCCTGCAAATACCAGATTTCTGGAGGGTTTGGAATATTGATTTTCTGTTGAAGAAATTAGGGTGAGCATTTTACTCAATAAAAATCAGGAATCACAATTCCTAAACTCATAGATTTTTCTACAGATCTTAAGCCTCCATTGTTATTCCTATAGTAGCTCGCCCTGGATAAAATGGAGACATCCCTCAATTCTGCCAAGCAGAGCTGCCGGGAAAGACTGAGGTCGCAAGCCCAGCCCTGCACAGGGCGAAAGGAAGGACCACTCAGACTGTCCTGGCCTGGGTCAGGTGCCACCCCACAGGTAGTAACTCATCAAAGATGCGCAGTTTAACGGACTGTACTATACTGACAGTAAAACGAACTAATCTGGCATCCATACACTGTGTCTGTCAAACTCAGTGATGCACACAGGTTTAAACATTGTTTTTTATGTGTTTTAATTTTTCATAGCCTTCTAACGTGACCTGTGAGACGTCTCTGCAGAGTTGATGCCATGAGGTAGTGAGCTCACCTAAGAATGTCATCGTCATATAGTCAGCAAGAATAAGATATAGAAGACGATGCCTTCGTGGCTTTACACACCTCAAAATGTGGAGCTGTATCATTTATGTGATTCTTTTAAGACATAATCACTCAATTGAAAGCTTGGAGCAGATAATGCATCTTAGTAGCCAGAGCTTCGCGGCTGCCATTGTATTTCCGCTCCTTCGTGAAGGGGAGCGAGGCGTGCTCTGCAGAGCAGCAGGTGTGTGCCATGTGAGGGCTGGAGGGCACAGCCCACGAGAGCTGCTTCGTGGGGCTCTCACCAGTTCTGTGGCTCCATGTCCAGACCAGTTCTGTGGCTCCGTGTCCGTAGCAAAGCTGGATCTGGCCACAGCTGTCGGGAATGTCTGAGGGATTGGCAGAGTTGGGAAAGACGCCGGAATAAGAGAGTTGGACAAACATTCAGAAAGGGTTACAGGTAGATTGTGGGAACCGCAGACCAGTGTGCTTGCCTTGGTCCCTGGTGAGATCCTAGGCCGTATCAGTGACGGGGAGGGAGCCGGGCGTCACACCGTCTCTTTGCTGATGGCATTTCTTGCTGAGAGATGGAGGAACGGCTGTTGACATCACAAGTATAGA
Source organism: Homo sapiens (assembly GCF_000001405.40). Lineage (NCBI taxonomy): Eukaryota > Metazoa > Chordata > Mammalia > Primates > Hominidae > Homo > Homo sapiens. Next base: position 15,973 of record NT_187563.1, on the reverse strand, counting down.
TTTTAATGATTTTTTTTTTTACAAAGTATCCAAAAGAAAAGATAGAGACTTGGAACGATCATGCCGTTAGATAAATTTCTACCTACGTACACTATTCTTACAGGCTATTAATTAAATAATTACTTAATGAGGAGAAAATAGATTAAGTGCAAAGGGGTTCTCTAGAAACGTGCCGTGGGGCTATTCCTCAATTCTGTTATATTCCACGATGTTGTCAATAATAGAATTAAAGATGCGTCATTGGGTTGAGTAAACTTTTGGACCATGCAGTGCTAGGAGGAGGAGGGGTGGATGGAGATGAGGGTCTGAGTAAGGTCTCCCGCTGGCACCAGAAGAGCCCTGCCCAAGTGCGACCATCAGATGGAAACGACCTCAGGGGTTTTAGAGCCAGTGTGAGTCCACTGTGTTGCTGATAGCAGGGGATGCGCATGGCTCACCCAGAACAATCCCGCCCACAGCCACGTTCTGTGTGGCCCATGTGTGAGCTGCCCGAGGCCGCCCTCACCAAGTACCATGAACCTAGGGGCCTTCAAACAACAGGCGTTTATTCTCCCACAGTGCTGGGAGCCAGAAGTCTGAGAGCATGTCTGAAGCTGTGCTCCCTCCTCCTCCAGCCTCTGCCAGCACCTGACAGCTCCCAGTGTCCCTCGGCTTGTGGCTGCCCCACTCCAGTCCCTGCCTCTGTGTGTGACCCGCTCCCTGTGCACGTCTGTCTGTGTCTGAATTTCCCTTTTTTTTTTTTTTTTTTTTTTTGAGATGGAGTTTCACTCTCACAGCCCAGGCTGGAGTGCAATGGCGCAATCTTGGGTAGCCGCAACCTCCACCTCCTCCGTTCAAGCAATTCTCCTGCCTCAGCCTCCCAAGTAGCTGAGATTACAGGTGCCCACCACCACGCCTGGCTAATTTTTACATTTTAAGTAGAGACGGGGTTTCACTATGTTGGTCAGGCTGGTCTTAAACTCCTGACCTCAGGTGATCCGCCCGCCTCAGCCTCCCAAAGTGCTGGGATTACAGGCGTGAGCCACCCTGCCCAGCCTCAAATTTCCGTTTTTGATCAGGACACCAGTCCTACTGGATTCATGGCCTACCCCAGAGACTTCGTGGTCACTTGATTACATCTGTGAAGGTCCTTTTTCCAAGTTACATAACATGCTGAGGTCCTGGGGTTAAGACTCAACATATCCTCTTGAGGGGACACAGTTTGTACTCTAAGAGCTCAATGAGGGTTTTCAAAATTGAGAAATTTTACATAAATAATACAAATGCCTGATTTCTATTTTCTTAATCAAAGATCTGAGCAACCCCAGACCCGCATTCCCAGCCAGCAGTACCTGTGTGCTCTCCCCTTGGGGTAGGACTGGCCGCCCCCAGCCACCCAGCCCCCCTTCCACGACGCAGCCCCTCCCCCCACTCATGGTGCCCCCAGCTGCCCGGCCCCCCTTCCACCACGCAGCCCCTCCCCCCACTCATGTGGCCTGCCCGGCCCCCCTTCCACCACGCAGCCCCTCCCCCCACTCATGGTGCCCCCAGCTGCCCGGCCCCCCTTCCACCACGCAGCCCCTCCCCCCACTCATGTGGCCTGCATGGCCCCCCAGACACTGGAGGCTACAGCCCCTGATGTCTACCCTGTTGTGGCCCACGAAGGATTTAGACACCTCTTAAAAGGAATATATGCACTAAATGAATGCTGAAATAACAAAGTCGGTAGAAAATGACGGCCATGGGAGAGACACATATGCCCCCTGAGGTTAACCCGGCAGAACTGCTGCGTCCCAGTGACGGAGACCAGGGTCCCAGGGATGCAGCCAGCTTGGCCACCCCGGGGGCTTGTCCTCAGGCCTAGGCCCTGCATTAGACAGCTGCCTGCAAGGCCAGAAGACAAAGAGGAGAGCAGGAGGTCTGCCGGGGTCAGGTGGGCCTGAGGAAGGGAAGGAGGGCATGGAGTGTGGGCGGAGTCCTCAGGTCCCAGGACAGCCTCCCACGTGGTGAAGGGCCAGGACTCCCCCGGGCTGCAGGGGAGCACAGACAGGACCCGTGTGCAGGTGCACAAACCGGACCTCCGGCGCGTGGGGCTCTCGCGTGTAACCCGGCTGCCCCGGAACCTCCGGCGCGTGGGGCTCTCGCGTGTAACCCGGCTGCCCCGGAACCTCTGGCGCGTGGGGCTCTCGCGTGTAACCCGGCTGCCCCGGAACCTCCGGCGCGTGGGGCTCTCGCGTGTAACCCGGCTGCCCCGGAACCTCCGGCGCGTGGGGCTCTGCGTGTAACCCGGCTGCCCCGGAACCTCCGGCGCGTGGGGCTCTCGCGTGTAACCCGGCTGCCCCGGAACCTCCGGCGCGTGGGGCTCTCGCGTGTAACCCGGCTGCCCCGGAACCTCCGGCGCGTGGGGCTCTCGCGTGTAACCGGGCTGCCCCGGAACCTCCGGCGCGTGGGGCTCTCGCGTGTAACCCGGCTGCCCCGGAACCTCCGGCGCGTGGGGCTCTCGCGTGTAACCCGGCTGCCCCGGAACCTCCGGCGCGTGGGGCTCTCGCGTGTAACCCGGCTGCCCCGGAACCTCCGGCGCGTGGGGCTCTCGCGTGTAACCCGGCTGCCCCGGAACCTCCGGCGCGTGGGGCTCTCGCGTGTAACCCGGCTGCCCCGGAACCTCCGGCGCGTGGGGCTCTCGCGTGTAACCCGGCTGCCCCGGAACCTCCGGCGCGTGGGGCTCTCGCGTGTAACCCGGCTGCCCCGGAACCCCTCCTGCACATGGGCGGGCTGAGGGCCAGGCGCAAGGGCACCTGTGCCCAGGCGGCAGGCAGTAGGCACCAGTCCATGGTGGGCGTACAGATGGCAGGGCTGAAAGGGACCCTAAAGATCCTCCGGAAGAGATGTCCCCCCAGGGGACATCTGGGAGCTGTGCACGGTCCTGAGCGGCTTGGGGTCCCAGGCCTGTGGCCCTCACTGCACAGGGTTCTTCTGCAGCGGGACCCCGCAGCCATGTCACTCTCTGCCCTGGGAAACATCCTGTGCCACGGGGCGGGGGGGTGGGGGCGGTTAGGCAGCTTGGGTGATTTTTTTATTGTTTGTAGAGATGGGGTCTCACTGTGTTGGCCACCTGGTCTGAAACTCTAGGCCCAAGTAATCCTCCCGCCTCGGCCTCCCAAAGTGCTGAGATTACAGACATGAGCCACCACACCTGGCCAAGAGTGAGTTTTAATGAGCACACAGTCACTGTCTTCTCACATCAGAAGTCCGTGTGCTGAGAAATGAGGATTCTCTTTATTCTGGACGTTCCAGAAAGCCTCGTCCAAGGGGATCGAATGGACGCAGGAGGGAGAGAGCTCAGATTTTAGCTCTTTGTTAGGTTCGTATAACCCAAGTGCCCTGTGGGTTCCCCTTGTGTGGATGCTTCCTGAAACTGTGTCCTCACGGCCGACCCTGTGTCTCAGGCGAGCACCCTTCTGTGGGTGGTGGGGACACACCCATGCGTCCGACCCCCACAGAGCCACCTGGGCCTCTGTATGCCTCACGCTCCTCTCTCCAGCATCCACGGTTTGCCCCCAGCTGAGGGCTAAGTGAGGGAAACTCCTTCAGGCTCACGTTGTAAGGAACCACTGCTCCCCCAAAACATCCCTGCCAGAGCCTTGTCTGCTCACTGATGAGGATTCTGTCTCTGGGCTTTCATTGTCCATCCTTGAATTCCAGCTCCCCAGAATATCCGACTTGTATGTGTAAATCTCTGTCCCAGCCATCCGTGGATGGGCCGGGCTGAGTGCTCTGGGACTTCAGAAGCCCAGGCACGCCGGGCTGAATCTGAAGGCGGGTGTGTGGCGCAGCTCCTGGAGCAGGCGTGTTAAACCCTAAGCTCCTTCCCATGTAGCAGGACCGCCCATTCCTGTGGGCCATGTGGCTGCACAACGTGGAGCGAGGTCGAAGTCCCCATAGAAGACAGAGCTGGGGGGCTCGCAGGGAATTTCTCAGAGGGGTGCCCACTTGGGAGGGAAGGAGGGTCCCCGGCCTCTGTGTCACTCACTTCGTGCTCTAGATGTCCGAGTAACCCAGTGGTAAATGTCCACTGCCAGTAATTTCCCAGCACCTCATTCTGTCCCACACACCTCACTTAGGCTCTCAGCTACCCGCAGGAGGACCAGGACTGAAAGAATTGTCAGGGGTCAAAATCGTCTTTGTCATTTTCTTGGAAATAAAAGTAAGCAGCTCATTTCAGACACTATGCCCAGGAGGAGCTTTTGTCCAGAGCTGTGCATGGAAGGGCATCGTATTGATCTGTGGCACGTATGGCCTCCATCTCCCCTGATGGGAGTCAGCAGGGCCGCTCTGTGTGACCACCTGTGAGAGCCTAGATTAAAATCCCACCCAGCCATGGGCAGCACAGCCCCCGACCCAGGCCCTCTGACCAGGGGCCTCACTCCCACTGGGAGAGGCAGAAGCCACAGTTGTCTCTCTCGGCTCGCTCCTCTGCCGCCTGAGGGTCCAGACTGTAGTCTCCAGCCCCAGGTGGCTTCCCCTCCCCAGCAGGAGTGTCGGTTCCCAGGTGACAGTTATCTCTTTTCAAAGTCGGTGGGGTGCAGGCTCTAGTAGAGAAGAGTAGCTGGGAGAGCACGTTCAGCTCTCACTGGTGGCTTTCATGGAGCCATACGTGGCTTGTTATTGAATTGTGACTATGACCATCTCATGTTTGATGTAAAGGATAAAGAAATGATGGACCTGTGGGTGATTATAGCCATTCTTTGGTTTATGGACCCGTAAGTCTCACGGAGAGCATTATCAATCACACAGTGCCGTCACGGCTGCGTTTTCATGTGGAATGCTGAATTGCTTTAGAATGCATAAAGCAGGGAGCCGCTTGTGACTATGCATGTGTGGTTTTACGGAAGTTGGGGCACACATGAGGCCTGCCCTGGTTCTGGTCATCTCAGACAGGAACACGGAGCTCATGAACCTTCTCAGTCTCACCGAGAGCCCTGGGACGGCCCCTCCGTCCAACTCTGGAGTACCTTCTGCCACCTGCAGGTACTCCTGAATGGCCGAGAGCCACTCACACCACTGCCCAACCTTTAGGATGATCTGGACAGTCCCTGTGGAAGGAACGAGTCTCTGTGGCCAGCTCTGAGTGCTGCAGGTCCTGGCTGAAGGGTCGTGGGCAGATGGTGATGCTTGCACAAGCAGAGAGATAATCGTAAGGGGACACAGGGTGGCACCCCGCCTGGAAGGCAGGGAATGGAAGCAGGAGGGAACTGGCACCAGGGAGCTGGCAGCAGAGGAGAGGATGTGCCTGAGCTTCAGAAGGGAAGGCAACACTCAGAGGCACACGGCACGGGGCAGAATCAGAGCTAAAAGAAAGGGTGCCCATCCGAGGCAAAGCACCTTTCTCCAGCCTCAGCCCTGGAAGGCCACTGTCCTGCTTACAGGGACCCTTCCTTGCAGAGCAGCCAGCGGCTGGCCCCAGCGGCCCAAGGCAGATGCACACTGCTAAGGGATGATAGCATCTCCACTTTGCAGTGACATTTGCTGAAATGAGATCATAAAATCCACAAGGACTTTATTTTTGAGAGTTAAAACTAGAAATGTTAACTCTTGTGGCTACTTTTGTTTTAAAAGCAGCATAAGAAATCTTCCTCTGGCTGGGCGCAGTGGCTCACGCCTGTAATCCCAGCACTTTGGGGGCCAAGGCGAGTGGATCACAAGGTCAAGACCATCCTGGCTAACATGGTGAAACCCCGTCTCTACTAAAAATACAAAAATTAGCTGGGCGTAGTGGTGCGTGCCTGTAATCCCAACTGTAATCCCAATTGGGATTATGGGAGGCTGAGGCAGGAGAATCACTTGAACCCAGGAGGCGGAGGTTGCAGTGAGCAGAGATCGTGTCACTGCACTCCAGTCCAGCCTAGTGACAGAGTGAGACTCTGTCTCAAAAAAAAAGAAAAAAAAAGGAAAAAGAAATCTGCCTCTGCCTGTAATACCTGCCGAGACTGATCAAGTCTTCCCTGAAGCTTTTAAACTACAGCGGGTTAGCATTGCCATCCCTGAAGGGTACTTAGCGGGCACGTATGTTAACTGAGCTTATGACATCAATTCATGGGAAGCTAATATAGTGTCGACTCTATCTCCACGTGTGTGGGGGGGGTGTCCATGCACGTGTGATGTGTGCTTGAGTTGGTGTTTACTATATGCCTATGTGTGTGTGAATGTGGTTGTGTGTGTGCTGTGTGTGTAAGTATGCTGGGTATGTGTCTGTGTGTATGTGTGGTGTGTGTGTTTCTGTGTATGTGTGTGCGAGGTACTTGTCTATGTGAATGTGGTTGTGTGTGTGCGTGTATGCTGTATCTGTGTGTGTTTGTGGTATGTGTGCTGTGTATAAAAGGACAACCCACAGCACTAAACCTGAATCTATAGATTCCCAGGTACCTGCGTATCAGAAAATATGTTTTACTATTAAGTTTTCTGTGTCCTTCATCTGTCTGGCATTCTGGAGGGATGTGGTCCACCTTGATCCGGAAGGCACCGGGGTCAGATTCACTCAGTTCCCGGCATTCTGGAAGGATGTGTTCCACCTTGATCCAGAAGGCACCTGGGTCAGATTTGCTCAGTTCCCGGCATTCTGGAGGGATGTGGTCCACATTGATCTGGAAGATACTGGGGTCAGATTCGCTCATTTGCTGGCAATCAGGAGGGATGTGGTCACGTTGATCTGGAAGGCACTGGGGTCAGATTCACCCAGTTCCCAGCATTCTGGAAGGATGTGGTCCACGTTTATCCAGAAGGCACCTGGGTCAGATTCACTCAATTCCCAGCATTCTGGGGGATGTGATCCGCCTTTATCCAGAAGGCACCTGGGTCAGATTCACTCAATTCCCAGCATTCTGGAAGGATGTGGTCACGTTGATCTGGAAGGCACTGGGGTCAGATTCACCCAGTTCCCAGCATTCTGGAAGGATGTGGTCCACGTTTATCCAGAAGGCACCTGGGTCAGATTCGCTCAGTTCCCGGCATTCTAGAGGGATGTGGTCCCTGTTGATCCGGAAAGCACTGGCATGAGATTTGCTCAGTTCCTAACATTCTGGAGGGATGTGGTCCACATTGATCTGGAAGGCACTGGGGTCACATTCGCCCAGTTCCCACATCGTGGAGGGATGTAGTGCATGTTGATCCGGAAGGCACTGGGTCAGATTCACTCAGTTCCCGCCATCTGGAGGAATGGGGTTCACGCTAATCCAGACAGCACTGCGTCAGATTCACGCAGTTCCCACCATCTGGAGGAATGGGGTTCCCGCTAATCCAGAAGGCACTGGAGTCAGATTTGGTCAGTTCCTGGCATTGGGAGGGGTGTAGTGCACATTGATCTGGAAGGTGCTGGGGTCAGATTTGCTCAATTCCCAGCATTCTGGAGGAATGTGGTCCACGTTAATCCGGAAGGCACCTGGGACAGATTGGCTCAGTTCCCGGCATTCTAGGGGGATGTGGTCCACGTTGATTTGGAAGGCACTGGGGTGAGATTCACTCAGTTCCTGGCATTCTGGAGGGATGTGGTCACATTGATCTGGAAGGCACTGGCGTCAGATTCACCCAGTTCCCAGCATTCTGGAAGGATGTGGTCCGCCTTTATCCAGAAGGCACCTGGGTCAGATTCACTCAATTCCCAGCATTCTGGGGGATGTGATCCGCATTGATCTGGAAGGCACCTGGGTCAGATTCATTCAATTCCCAGCATTCTGGGGGATATGGTCCGCGTTTATCCGGAAGGCACCTGGGTCAGATTCACTGAATTCCCAGCATTCTGGGGGATGTGATCCGCGTTTATCCAGAAGGCACCTGGGTCAGATTCACTCAATTCCCAGCATTCTGGGGGATGTGATCCGCATTTATCTGGAAGGCACTGAGGTCAGATTCACTCAATTCCCAGCATTCTGGGGGATGTGATCCGCATTGATCCGGAAGGCACCTGGGTCAGATTCACTCAATTCCCAGCATTCTGGGGGATGTGATCCGCGTTGATCTGGAAGGCACTGGGGTCACATTCACTCAGTTCCTGGCATTCTGGGGGAATGTGGCCCATGTTGATCCAGAAGGCTCTGGCGTCAGATTCACTCAATTCATACCCTGCCTCGCCTCCTGCTGTGTGACCTTAAGCAGGTTACCTTGTCACTCTGGGCTTCATTTGCCTGTCTGGAAAATGGAGGGTTTTGTTTTGTTGTGTTTTGTTTTGTTTTGGAGTCTCACTCTGTCACCCAGGCTGGAGTGCAGTGGTACAATCTCGGCTCACTGCAACCTCCACCTCCTGGGTTCAAGCAATTCTTCTGCCTCAGCCTCCTGAGTAGCTGGGACTACAGGCGCATGCCACCATGCCCAGCTAATTTTTTTGTATTTTTAGTAGAGACGGGGTTTCACCATATTGGCCAGGCTGGTCTCGAACTCCTGACCTCGTGATCCGCCCCCTGGGCCTCCCAAAGTGCTGGATTACAGGCGTGAGCCACCACGCCCGGCCAAGTACAGGTTTTAATGGTGCTCACCTCACAGGATTATTGTCAGTTTCACAAAGAGCCTTCCTGCAAGCATGGAGGTTAGTGCTCGAGCACAGAGTTAGACATTTGATAACAGTCACTGTCATTTCATGAGGGTTTTTTAATTGTGAAAAAATTGTCCTTAGTTACAGACACACACTCTGGGGCTTATGAAGATTACTTTAAATATTTAGTATATGTCAATTCTAAGTTAAAAGTCTGCTTTGCAAGTTACGAGAGCAATAGAATGGCCGCCGTAAACTGCAGTGAATACAGATGCCCCTCATTCTGCTTCTGACTCCAGTGGTTCCTGTTCTGTCCTGGGGCTTCCTCAGGAGGTGCTGAGAAGGAAAGAAAGGGAACACCTGAGGGGCACCTGCCCTCCCTCCACGTGTGCCCAGAAGCGAATGTGGGGAGCCAGGAGGTGGTAGGGTGCCCAGGAGAGCGGGAGCAGCATGGGGCAGGGCGGGCCCAGCCGAGGGTGGGACCTTCAGGCCCTCCATTCCCAAGCACACACACGTGGTCTCTTGCACTCTTCATCGGTGATCATTTTTCCTCTTTATATTTGTGTTACTTAATCCTATTATCTTTAAGGATGCCTTCCACATTTGTCTGAAAACAGAATTTCCATTGGCATCCATGAAAACCAAGGTCGGAGCTCCTAGAGTCAAGATGGTAATAAAAAGTAGCAGGGCCCCTGAGGGTGTGGATGCCACCCTGTCCTGAGCACCTTACAGCCAAGAGCTCCCGGGATCAGTTCATTAAGCCCATGAGTCAAGTACATTTTATTCCCATTTTCAGGGAGAGAAACTGAGGCACAGGGCAGTGAAGCCACTTGCCTCAGTCACACAGTTAGTGGCAGAGCTTCCTCTAAACCATGGCAGTGTATACTGGGCACCCAATCGTGTGAGTAGAAACAGGAATCTTCTAACTCACAGCATCAGACAATCTAAGGAAAGGGATTCCTGGTGGCACCTCACCCCGCGGAGGATGGCACCCGGAGCTGCAGCTGGAAAAAACAGAGGCCGTCAGCTTTGGGCGAGTGAGAGCTTCAGAGGGCCCTGAGCCCCACGGTGATCACGCATTCAAAATGTTTGCTGCACTCAGCTACATAAATATTACAGGGAAAGAGAAAGTGGAGGGCAGGGGAGAGGCAGCCTCACCACAGCCCCGGAGAACCAGAGTGAGGCAAATGTAGTTTTCCGGGCCTCCTGACCTGCCAGTCTCGGAATCCCAAATCCAGAGCAGCGGCAGAGGACAAGCGGCCGCGGGGAGTGAGGGGAGCGTGCTGAGGTGGGGGTTGGACCGCAGGAACCCCACCAGGCTGGCCGGGAACTTGCCTTTCACCTCCTGCAGGTGCCTCTGCCTGGCTGAGAAGAAGTTCTTTTGTGGAAGACCCACGCTGGGTGTTCCCATCTGGTTCTCTCCTGGACGGCTTGACGTTGCTAGCTCCAGTAGTTACCCTCCACTGCACAGCGAGTTATCCCGAAACTTAGCTTAACACAACCATGTTTTATCTTACAGTTTCTGTGGGCCTGGGGTCCTGGTGTGGACCAGCTGGGGGTTCCAGCTGCGTCCCTATAGGCTGTGCTGAGGGTGTCCTCTCAGCTCAGCAGCGGCAGCCCCAGGCCCTCTGTGCTGTTAGCCCCTGTCCATGGGCCCTGTCCACCAGGTTTCCCCATCAGCCGCCACCACCTGGCAGCAGACATCCCTCGGAGCTCGAAAGTCGGTCGGGGACCCCAGTGTGCGTCCTTAGCAGCCATCTCTGCTGCCTTTGCTGTCCTCCAGGCATCGGAGTGGAGTCACCAGGTCCAGTGGCGCTCAGGAAAGAGAATTCCAGGAGGACGGAGGCCCTGGGCCGTCTCAGAGGCTGCCGGCCACACTGACATTTCAAGAATGAGCCCGTTCAATTTCAGGATACTCCCTTTGCCACAGGCTCAGTTTAGGAGCTCTTCTTATTTCTCTATTTTTCCAAACTTTCGATACTTCCTTTTCTCCCCTTCATCTTAATTTAAGGCTTTCCACAAAGAGCTCTATCACAGCCCCTTCCTAAGACCGGTCTCCAACAGCAGCAGCTTGAAAACAGCTATTTTGGCCCCTCAGGTATGAAGGTCCCCTAGTGTTTCCTGGAGACACCTCCTTCTGACCTCAGCTCCTTCTGAGGGACGCGGGGCCAGAGGAGAGAGGAGCAGATTCGGCAGCGCGGAGCAGCAGGACGGCGGGTGTTTGAAATGGCACACACGCACTTTTCTGGTGGCATATGTTGTGGTATTCATTTAGCAAAAATCCATTTTTAAAACCCTGGACCTGTAGACTGATCAACAGATGAAACAGTGAGCTGAGCTGCTGCCTGCCTTTTTGTGTTGCCAGAGATTATTATCCACCATATGCTGGAAGCCTGATGGTGAGCCTCCGCCCCGGGGCTCTCACCAACGCCGCAGCACGCCTGCCGGTGGACAGGAGCCTATGGAGGGCACTGAGCCAGCCAGTGAGCGTGGGCAGGCAGCCCTGTGCTCCCCACTGGGCTGTGAGAGGTGCACACACCTCAGCTTACTTCTCTGAGGGGAGACACCCATGTTCACCAGCACCGACCAGGCTTTCTCATAAACTCAGAGCCCGTGTCAGTTACACCAGCACCTACCAGGCTTTCTCATAGTTACACCAGCACCGACCGGGCTTTCTCACAAAGGCAGAGCCCGCAACAGTTACACCAGGACCGACCAGGCTTTCTTATAAATGCACAGCCCACGTCAGTTACACCAGGACCGACCAGGCTTTCTCATAAATGCACAGCCCACGTCAGTTACACCAGCACCTACCCGGCTCTCTTACAAACCCACAGCCCGTGTCAGTTACACCAGGACCGACCGGGCTTTCACACAAAGGCAGAGCCCGCAACAGTTACACCAGGACCGACCAGGCTTTCTTATAAATGCACAGCCCACGTCAGTTACACCAGCACCGACCGGGCTTTCTTATAAATGCACAGCCCGCGTCAGTTACACCAGCACCTACCCGGCTCTCTTACAAACCCACAGCCCGCGTCAGTTACACCAGCACCGACCGGGCTTTCTTATAAATGCACAGCCCGCGTCAGTTACACCAGCACCTACCCGGCTCTCTTACAAACCCACAGCCCGTGTCAGTTACACCAGCACCGACCGGGCTTTCTTATAAATGCACAGCCCGCGTCAGTTACACCAGCACCTACCCGGCTCTCTTACAAACCCACAGCCCGTGTCAGTTACACCAGCATTGACCCGGCTCTCTTATAAACGCACAGCCCACGTCAGTTAAGAGTGAGAAGCTTTCATACCTAGAACCGCAGTGCTTTGTGAGTGGGTCAGAGTGTAGGATAAAGTCTGCATGGCTGTGGCCACAGAACTTCGGGTAGGAAGGGTCTGGGGGCAGCGCTGAGTGACAGGAGGAGACGCCCCTGGAAGGTGCATCTGGAGCTGCCGGAGCAGACACCCCCTGGCCTCTTAGAGTGTGTGTGGTAGAAGCACAGAAATGGCAGTGCTCACACGATGCCTGTGACCACATTCTATGGAAAATAGAGAATAAAGACCACCATCTTTTTGAAAGACTGATACTATTATTGAATTACTATTCAAAGAATAGTAACTATTATTAATATTATTACTGGGGGGAGGCTTGGAGGCTCTGGCGGAGACCCGCGGAGCTCAGACTGCAGAGAGGAGTGACTCCAAGCCTGCCTGAGTCTGTAGCTAAGAACGGAGCTCTCCCCTGTGAAACATGCCCTCAGTGTGTGGGTTCGCATAGGAGCCTGTGTGTTGATTGAGATTCTGCCACTGACCAGCTTCGGATACTTCATTTACCTCTCAGTACTTTGGTTTTCTCATCTGTAAAACTGGAAAAAAAAATGCATGAATTCCACGGTTTCTCTGGGAGTGAAAGGAAATAAAATATGGGAAAGTAGCTTGACAGGATGGAGCCGCTGCTGTCATGCTGACTAGAAAGTACTCGCCTGTCTCCACGTGTGCGAAAGCGTGCGTGTGTGAGAGACAGTGCATGTGCACATGCGTGAAATGATGAGCAGTCCGTAGCACTCACATGTTCTGAAGGTGAGGGACTCAGCATTCGACCTCAAACAAATGAAAGGCCCCGAGCCCACCGCTGAGCCAGCCAGGGTTCCTCGATGGGGAGAGAGTGTGCAGGAGAGGGTGAGGGTGCCCTCGCGGCCGCTGACCAGGGGCTCCTGGTGTGGGGAAGGCATGCAGGGGAGGTCTGGAGGCGCCCCTGTGTGTCCTTGGTTGATCAGATGAAAGGGAGCCAGCCTCTGATGGGTGTGAGGAAGGGTTGGTGGAATTTTCAGGGAGGGACAGGAAGCTGTTCCAGTGGACAAGGTAGAGATGGCCGAGGCTGAGGGTGGTGGATGGAGGGGACCAGACCCCAGGACTGCAGGAGGCCAGCCGCCATCAGCATAGGGGGATGGGGAATAAGGTCAGATAAGGGATGACCCGAAAAAAGTAATGGGATCTGATTGTGGGGAGGACAAAAGACAAGGAAGCCTCAAGCCTCACCCCAAAGATGGACATTCAGGACAGGCTGTCGTCATGGAAACTGGGAAACCCAGTGGAGGAAAAGTAACTGACTCTGTTGCGAACGTGCTTGGACAAGTGAGCCTGGTTTTTCCGCAGTGTCACTCAGAGGTGCTGTCTGTCTTAGTGCTCACCATGTCTGGGGCACTACTCTTTTGAAATGGCCTTTTCAAATGCACTCTTAATGGTGGAAGTGATATTTCAGATTTGTTTCTTTTTTAATACTCTAAAGCCATTTGGAGACAAGGACAGTCAACTGGAGGAGTGATGAGGTTAAGGTGTGGAGAATCACAAGTGAAAAAGCTTAGAAAACGTAAGACTAGATTTCTGGTTTTCTTTGGGCATATTTCTGAAGACAATTCCAAATGGGAATTTCAGAAATGACTGAGCAAGGTCGAAGTAGGTATATCACTTCCTAAAGTGTGTGAATGGAAACATATTAGGGAGACATATAGTTACATGTGGCAGATTCATGAGGGTTTTAAAAGTGGTCTCAGTACCTGACAGCACCCTGTTGCAGATTATATGCTAATGTGCCAGACTTGCTAGAATGCCAGCGTGCATCCCACCGCACTGACCGAGGACATGCGGCGGCTCCATGCAGTTGGCCACTTGGCAGCTGAGGGTGAGTCACATGGAATCCTGCACCACCAATGCTCCGTCTCAGTGACAGCTTACCCTGAACCTGCTCCGCACTGTGTCAGAATGAAAAGCAACTGGGCAGGGTGCGGTGGCTCCCGCCTGTAATTCCAGCACTTTGGGAGGCTCAAGGTGGGCAGACCACCCGAGGTTGGGAGCTCAAGAACAGCCTGGCCAAGATGGCAAAACCCTGTCTTTACTAAAAATACAAAAAAAAATTCACTGGGCCTGGTGGCAGACACCTGTAATCCCAGCTACTGGCAGCAGAATCATTTGAACCTGGGTGTCGGCGGTTGGCAGTGAGCCAGGATCACGCCACTGCACTCCAGCCTGGGTGACAGAGCAAGACTCCGTCTCAGTAAAAAGAAAAAAAAGAAAAGAAAAGCAACTGGCTGCTTCCTGAATTTTTGTTCACATTAGATCTAAATATGTATAGACATATTTGCAATATAAAATCAAAAAATGTCACTTGATGGTGATCATTTGATTTTCCTTCTCAGTAGAATCCAGGTACAAAGGTGAGCTTTGTCAGGCTGTTGCTGTTCTTTCATTTAATTGGAGCCTATTTTCATACATTAAAATATACATAGGCACTTTTCTTAAAGAATATGTGAACAGGACATGGCTAAGTTATATAATTGTGAAACAAACATTTACCTGAATTACCTGAATTATTGTTCTACTTTTAATTCCAAAGCAACCCGAGGAAAAGTTTCCAAATATTGTAATGGATGTGTAGTATGTAACTGACAAAATATGTGAAAGAGATTTTAAACAAAAATAGAGATGACCTGGTTATTCTTCACAGAATTATCTTGTTTCCTTTCATCTGAACATAATGGCACTATTTAGCCATTTTCAAAAAAGTTAGATTCTTGTTCATGTGGTAATGAGTCTTTCTTACAAACATTCAATCTAAGGAATTTTAGCTCAGTTTTGAAAAGAATATAATCTAGTTATGAAAATACAATATATATACTATACTGAACATCAACTATTAAATACGTGCCTTATGGCATTATTCTGTAAATAATAAAATATTAGATCTTTACAAATACGTTGATTAAAAGTAATAGATCCTCTATACTAGAATCTAGACAGTGAAAACCGGATTCACCTCTAGGGAGACTGCACTGTTTATAAGTACCTGTGCTTATGAACAGTATTTTTTCAAAATGCTACTTTTAATGGACAAAACTAATAATAGTAATAATGAAGCCTTGAGGCTTTTTCTATTCTTTGAATTATAACTTTGAAGTTTGGGGAAGAAAAGTCTAAACATCCCGACATATTTGTCAGCCAATCCTTCAAGCAGAAATGTTTGCTGAAACACATACTTGGTTTATAAGCACGTGGTTTCATGTAAGCATGTCAAGCCATTGGTGGGATATCAAGTCTATCTCATCATTGAGTTCCTATTTTTGGATTTCAAAAGCTTCAGATTCATCGGCATATGAGCCAGCATGAGAATTAATAATAAAAGCTGAGTTGTGTTGGTGATTTATTTTTCAAAACAAAAAATGACTTGCATTGTTCTGCTTTAAGTAAAGAATTCATATTTTTCTTGAAATAAAGTGAAATAATTTGAAAAAATAATTTTAGCATTTCTCAATTTTAAAATAAGGGCATTGATTTTATAGCTATATCTTACATTTGCACTGCTTACATTTGCATTGCTTATGTTATATCTAACATAAGCAATGTGGCAAAATCTTATCTTAAAAATCTTCCCAGTTCATGAATTTGTCCTGTGGGATAAACTCTGCTTCCAGTATGCATGGGTAGATGGTGAGGGCTCTGCCAAGACCCAGTATGCATGGGTAGATGGTGAGGGCTCTGCTAAGATCCAGTATGCATGGGTAGATGGTGAGGGCTCTGCCAAGACCCAGTATGCATGAGTAGATGGTGAGGGCTCTGCCAAGACCCAGTATGCATGAGTAGATGGTGAGGGCTCTGCCAAGATCCAGTATGCATGGGTAGACAGTGAGGGCTCTGCGAAGACCCAGTATGCATGGGTAGATGGTGAGGGCTCTGCCAAGATCCAGTATGCATGGGTAGACGGTGAGGGCTCTGCCAAGATCCAGTATGCATGGGTAGACGGTGAGGGCTCTGCTAAGACCCAGTATGCATGGGTAGACGGTGAGGGCTCTGCCGAGATCCAGTATGCATGGGTAGACGGTGAGGGCTCTACTAAGACCCAGTATGCATGGGTAGATGGTGAGGGCTCTGCCAAGACCCAGTATGCATGGGTAGATGGTGAGGGCTCTGCCAAGATCC